>NC_000008.11:16223738-16526769 GCF_000001405.40 Homo sapiens
TCCCAGGAAGTTTTAAAATCTCTATTGGCCAGAGAACATCAACAGGCATGGCTGGAAGCCCCAGTCGGGAAGTCCCTCTCTGGGTATTTAATATAAACAAATTATAAACTATGTAGTATTTTTCATCTTTTTCACTTAGCAAAACTAAAAAGAAATTATTCATGTTGAAACAAATATCAGTAATATACTCCTTTTTATTGTTATATAGTGTTCCAGTGTATGAAAATGAGGTAGAAAGCAGAACTCTACTCAGGAGATGGGACTTGACTCCAGAGATGAGGCTTGGACACTGGACGAGATTGAGTACTAGCTTAAACAGGGCCAGGGAAGAAACAGCTTTCCATAAGGTATGCCTACCACTGTGTCATGTCAGTTTACAATTGCCATGGCAACACCTGAAAGGTACTGTCCCTTTCCATGTCAATAACCCAATGACTAGGAAGTTACCATCCTTTTTCTAGAAATCTCTGCATAATCCACCCTTTAATTTGCATATAATTAAAAGTGCATATAAATATGACTGCAGAATTGCCTCTGAGATGCTGCTCTGGGCACATTGCCTACGAAGCAGCCCTACTCTGCAAGGATGAGTACCTCTGCTGATGCTGTATGCTGCTGCTTCAACAAAAGTTGCTGTTTAACAGCACTGACCTGCCCTTTAATTCTTTCCTGGGTGAAGCCAGGAACCCTCTCAAGCTAAGGCCAATGTGGGGGTTTGCCTCTCCTGCATCAAATGCACTACATTTTGCTTATCCATTTACCAGTGATGCGCATTGGGTTGTTTCCTAAACAGACTTTTGTTCTTAAAACTGCATTGAAATTACTCTTACCCTTATTACAAAGTCTAATGGCTAAGTAATCACTTTTTTTTTTTGAGACAGAGTCTCACTCTGTTGCCCAGGCTGGAGTGCAGTGGCATGATCTTGGCTTGCTGCAAGCTCCACCTTCCGGGTTCATGCCATTCTTCTGCCTCAGCCTCCCGAGCAGCTGGGACTACAGGTACCCGCCACCACACCTGGCTAATTTTTTTTGTATTTTTAGTAGAGACAGGATTTCACAGAGTTTCATCGTGTTAGCTAGGATGATCTCAATCTCCTGACCTCATGATCCACTCGCCTCGGCCTCCCAGAGTGCTGGGATTACAGGTGTGAGTCACTGCGCCTGCCCTAATTAATCACTTTTTAATCCAATTCATCTTTTCCCTTTTGACAAAGTTTTAAAATTTTAATGTAATCTCCAGAACATCACATTTTCTTGCTGATTTGCTCGCTTCCCTTTCATTCCTCATTAGCCCAGTGTATTAGTCTGTTTTCATGCTGCTGATAAAAACATACCTAAGACTGGGAAGAAAAAGAGGTTTAATTGGACTTACAGCTCCACATGGCTGGGAAGTCCTCAGAATCATGGCGGGAGGCAAAAGGCACTTCTTACATGGTCGTGGCAAGAGAAAAATGTGGAAGAAGCAAAAGTGGAAACCCCTGATAAACCCATCAGCTCTCATGAGACTTATTCAATATCACAAGAACAGCACAGAAAAGACAGACCCTATTATTCAATTACCTCCCCTGGGTCCTTCCTAGAACACGGTGGAATTCTGGGAGATACAATTCAAGTTGAGATTTGGGTGGGGACAAAGCCAAACCATATCACCCATTCTGTTGGATAGGTCTTCTTTTGGTTTATAGATCAGCGCTGTCCAATAGAAATTTAATTTGAACCATAAATGTAACATGAAATTATTTTTAGTGCTATATTTTATTTAATTCAGTGTATCCAAAATATTACCATTTCAACATATAGTAAATATACATGTTTTTAATGAGATAATGTATTTAATACTATGTTTTTTATACTAAGTTCTTTTAAATCAAGTGGTTTGTTATTTACACTTTTAGCAAATCTCAATTCAGACTAACAAATTACAAGTTCTTAATAGCCACATGTAGCTAATGGCTACCATACTGAAAAACACAGCTTTAGATCCTTGAAAGCCCCAGGGAAAAGCTTTCTAAACATTTTTCTTCCCTAACTATGTGTACTTCCTAGAGATATCACTTGGTCCCATGGCTTTAAAAGCCATCCACATACTGATGACTACCAAAGCCATATAGTTAGCTTTGAATATTTAACTGGACAACTTTACTTTTATGACTAATAGTATCTTTAATATAACATTTTCAAAATATATCATTTCTACTCCTCCTTTCAAAATATTCTTATTCTTTTGCATTTTCCCATCTCAGTAAATATTGTCATTCTTCTCCTGTTGTTATAGTTAAACATTGGAAACATCTTTCCATTTCAGAAAGAAAGAAGAAATATTGATGTTTTAGTAACATGATGACAAATAGCTATCCATATATGGAAAATAGCAAAGTCAAATCCATACCTCACCACTTAAATCAAAACAAATTTTAGATGAATTAAAAATGTAAAGTAAAAAATGCCAACAAAATGCAGTGGAAGGAAATGTCAGCATGTATGCATCAAGGAATACTTTTTTTTGTGAGATGGAGTTTTGTCTTGTCGCCCATGCTTGAGTGCAGTGGCATAATCTGGCTCACTGCAACCTCCACCTCCCAGGTTCAAGCAATTCTCCTGCCTCAGCCTCCCAAGTAGCTGGGATTACAGGTGCCTGCCACCATGCCCAGCTAATTTTTGTATTTTTAGTAGAGACGGGGTTTCCCCATGTTGGCCAGGCTGGTCTCAAACACCTGATCTCAGTTGATCTGCCCGCCCCTGACTCCCAAAACGCTGGGGTTACAGGCATGAGCCACAACACCTTTTTTTCAACAACAAAAAAATACAATCAAGAAACCTCAAAAGAAAAAGAAAAATACTCAATGACATTACTGATAAAAATTTTAGGACCAAAATACACGAAGTCAGGAAATATCTGCTACATGTGTTTAAAATGCATGTTTAAAAAATAAGAAATTTTTAAATGTTCATTTTCTCTTACCAGTTCTGGAAACTACTTACAATACATCTTGCCACATGTTTTAAAACTTTTAAAAACCTGGTCCATATTTGACAGTCGCAAGATATTAAAAACATCTAGATATACATGAGCAACTCAAGTGGTGAAAAAATGATAAAGAGAAAAACTTGGATAAGGAATTGTTATCCAAATATTTTGCTTCCAGTTGTGTTTATTGTTTATGTGCAGTCACATAGTATTACTGGCATATAATATATGCTTATAACTACTTAATAATATGAATTAATTTTTTTAATCTAATACATATCTGACACTGTGGCAACTGATTTAATAGTCATAACAGTTTTGAGATAGGTGCTATTATCACTTTTATTGTATAAACTAGTAAAGTGAGGCAGAGAGAGATTAATAAAGCTTATTCAAGGTCACTCAGCTATTAGGTGGCAGATAGGGGATTCAGGCCCTGTGTGCTCACCTCCAGAGACTGGGTCCTTAAGATCAACGCCAGAGCATCTCTTAGTGATGTTGAATACATGTTTAAATAGATAAATAAATTAACAAATGAATATTAAGACATATGCCTCTCAAAATAATAAGGCTGTGAAATATCCTTTTCATAGATCATGAAAATATTGCTTAAAACAATGATGCAATAGACACATTTTACTTTTGCTAATGAAGTTTCTAATATACACATTTCTAATATACACATTATGAGTAACTTTAGCCTACTGGTATGGCCTGAATTATGTCTCCCCCAAAGTTTATATGTTATAGCCCTAACTCTAATCCCCAATATGACACTATTTGGAGATAGAGACTTTGTGAGGTAATAGGTTTAGATCAGATCAGGGGATGGGGCCCTCATGTTGGGACTGATACCCTTATAAGAAGAGAGATCAGACATCTCTCTTCATCTCTCTCTCTCTGCCATGTGAGAATACAGCGAGAATACAGTTATCTGTAAGCCAGGAAGAAAGTTGTCATTAGAACGTAACCATGCTGGTACCCTGGTCTTGGATTTCTAGCCTCCAAAAACCTTAGGTATAAATTTCTCTTGGGTAAGCTATTGAACCTATAGTAATTTGTTATGTTAGCCTGAGCAGACTACGACACTCATTTTTAAAAATTTATATATCAGTTATGTTTTCTGCAAAATTTGTTGTTGGTTTTTAAGCATGAGTTGCATATTTTAGTTATTAATACTTTGCTTTTTCGTATACATTTTAGAATAAGCTTGCCAATTTTATAAAATGCTTCTGGAACTTTGATTTAGATTTTGTAAAATCTATAGACTTATTTGGGAGAAAAAGCATCTTAACAATATTAAGTGTTCTGCTCCATGAGCATGGTATAGCTCACAAATTATATAGGTGTTTTGAAGTTGCTCTCAGCAATGTTTTACAGTTTTCAGTTGAAAGCTTTGGCACAGCCTTTGTTTAATTTTTCCTTTTTAATTTTTTTAACATTTTCCTTTTTTGTTTTTGATGTACTGCAAAAAGTATTTTTTCACATTAGTTTCACATCGTTCATTGCTAGTATATAGAAATACAATTGATATTTATATATTGACCTTGACTGCTATAACCTTGCTGACATCACATAAAAGTTCTAGTGATTTTTGCATAGATTTCCTAAGTTTTTCTACAAGAAATTATGTATTGTATACATAATCATACTTTTTCTTTCTAACATCCATTTTATCACTTTATTTTTCTACTTACTACACATGATCTATAGTGTGATATTTAATAGAAGTTGTGAGAATGAAAAACCTAGCTTTGCTAACAAACTTAGGAGTAAAGAATTAAGTGTTCCACCATAGGCTTCTTTCTTTTTTGTAATTACCTTTTATAAACAAGGAAATTTTTCCTTTGCATTCCAATTTTGCCTAGAATTCTTATCACAAATCTTTGTTTAGCTTTTGTTCACATTTATTGAAATGAAAATATGGTTTTTCACCTTTAATCTGTTAATCTTGTTAATTATATTGTCTAATTTTGAAATTTAAATCAAGCATGCACTCATAGATAAGTTCCAATGAGTCATGATGTTATTTTTATGTCTAGATTAAATCTGCTAATGTTTTGTTGAGAATTTTTATAATAAGTTTTATGATGACTATTAACCTGTAGTTTAATTTTTTTGTCATGTATTTGTCTGGTTCTGGTATCAGAATAATGTTGACTTCATAGAATGAGATGGCAAGTGTCTTCTCCATTTGTATTTTCAGACATAGTTTGACTTGTATTGGTATATTTCCTCTCTAAATGTTTGGTAGAATTCAACAGTGTGGATACCTGTAACGGATTTACTTTGTGGAAAAGCTTTAACTGCAAATTAAATATTTTTGAGAGAAATAGAGCCTTTCAAGTTTTATGGTTTTAGTGGTATGAATCTTGTTAGTTTGTGTCTTTCATGAAATTTATTAATTGTTTTCTAAGTATTCAACTATATTGGTATGATATTCTCTAATTATTTTTTAAAGCCTTTATAATATTGAATGATGTCTTCTCATTTATATTTTATGTCTCCACTTTTCGTACACATTAGTTTGGCTGGAGTATTGGAACAAGCTTTTAGTTTTATTGATTTCCTCTTGCTATGGTTTGAATGTGTTCTGGAAGGTTTCTGTGTTGGAAACTTAATCCTTAATGCAATCGTGTTGAGAGGTGGGACCTTTAAGAGGTTATTGTCATGAGGATTCCACCCTCATGGGTGGATTAATGTTGTTACTGTGGGAGTGGGTTTGTTATTGCAAGAGTGCGCTTGTTATAAAAGTGAGTTCAGCCCTCTCTTGTTCTCTCTTGCACATGGTATTTTGCCCTTTTGCTTTCCACCATAGGATGACACAGCAAGAAGGCCCCCACCAGGTGTGGCTTTTTGACCTTGGACTTCCCAGCCTCCAGAACTGTAAGAAGGAAATTCTGTTCTTTCTAAATTACCCAGTCTCAGGTACTCTGTTCTAGCAGCACAAAACAAACCTAGGATGGGATATCATGGGATAATACAGCAAGAAGACTGTGCCAGCTTCTGGTCCCTTGATCTTGAACTTTCTAGACTTCAAAACTGTGACCCAGTAAATTTCTGTTCATTTAAATTACCCAGTGTCAGGTATCCCATTACAGCAGCACAAAACAAAGGCACCTCTATTTTTTTTCTGTTTCCAATTTCATTGATTTCTAGTCTTATCTGTATTATTACTTTTTCTACATTTTTTGGAATAAGTTTCCTCTTCCTTTCTAATGTTTAATGCTACGCATTTATCTCTAAGGGCAATTTAGCTGCATTCTTCAAATTTTTTGATGTTTGTGTTATTATTTTTATTAAATTCCATATATTTTCAAATTTTAGACATAATATTCTCTTTGACCTATGGATTATGCAAAGTTATGCTGTTTAATTTGTAAATATTTGGGAATTTTAGTGATATCTTTCATTTCTGTTTTTAAATTCAATTTTATTGTTATTAGAAAACATATTTTTATGATTTCAATACTTTCAAATGTAAAGTTATTGAGAATTCTTTTATGGACCCACGTTTGATATAGGTTCTGTGCAAATTTTTAAAAAACGTGTATTCTGCTGTCATTGGGTGGAAGTGCTTTATAGATGTCAACTAGGTCTAGCTTTTTCATAGTTTGAGTGTTCCTAACAATTTTCTATCTATTTCATTCTGTAATCATTGAAAGGGGATATTGAAATCTCCATCAATATTGGATTTCATTATTTCTCCTTCCAGCTATAACAGGTTTCCTTCATGTGCTTTGTATCTCTCCTTTTAGATCTTTATATATTTATTATTTTTATGTCCTGAATTTATCATATTATTGTGAAAGACCTCTCTTATTCTTGTTAATATTTTGTGAATTTTTTTTTATATTAGCCAGTGTGCATTTGTGTGTGTCCTGATATGGAAAATTGTTTTCTATCCTTAAACTTTTAACCTAATAAGGTTCTTGCACAAGTAATCTTCACTTTGAATGATTCTCGTATGAATGGCTTTCATGTACCATGGTTTAGTTAAATACTACTTCCTCAACAGCATGGTTCAAATTTCAGTTACCATGGTGTATTCAACTGTGAGTAATTTCATAAGGTATAACTTTGATATAAACTCTTTAGTCCACAGTCACTATATTAAATCACAGATGTTCACTTCTTTCAAAGTATTTTGTTGATTGGTCACTGAACATATGTTGTTAATTTCATGTACAGACAGCAACGCATGTAGTTATATTTCCTCCTTGCTGCCCAGTGATAAACCCACACGACATTTTACTAAAATGAATATCGAGAGAGAAAGCTGCCCAAGAAAGATAAAAATGTAGCCAGGAAACAAAAAGTGATAATGCTAGAAGCAAAGTTCAAGCAAAATGCAAATGAAGTTCTAGGAGAAGTAACTTACTATGGGAATATAAAAACTGTCACATTTCAAGAGACTATAGATATGCAGCTAGAGGACCACAGTGAAGTCAAACATAATGAAAAGAATTAAGACATTCGAGAGGAACTGATGCTGACAAAAACTTCACATTAAAGAAACTCTGAGGGATATTTCACAACTTGGAGGCAAAAGCATACACTGTTTAAAGTAGACTTAGAAAAGAGTATGACAAATTGCCAAAACATGATAAAAGCCTTTCTCTACACTATATATTATGCAATGAAAACACTTTCAAATTACTCCTTATTTTTTTTAACAGCAAGTAAAACACTTAAGTCCTCAGTTTCTAATGTTTTAAATTACAGTGTATTAAACTACTATTTTTTTTAATTTTTGTATACAATTATCGTGGAGAGTAAAAGGATTTTTAATGTTTGAACAAAACATTTTAAAGCTAATGGGACAATTGCTATTTTTTTAATGACCAAGTTTACTTATCACATGTTCAACTCCCATGATTATTTTATTGTCCCATACTACCATGCAAAGCAAGGACTGCCTATATTTAAAGTAGGTGAGTCTGGAAGACTGTGAAGTGCTTTTTCATCCAGGTAACAGTCTGTACATACTCTGAAAACATAGCAGTAATTAAGATATAATAATGAAAATCTACATGAAGAAAAAATATCTATAGATTTTCTTCTAAAACAAGACAGAAAAATAGAAAGAAAACTTAAACACATTGCTCTGATTGATTGAACTCTCCAGCAAGATGGTATAATTTTATAAGTTATGATCTGAGATAGCATGATCAAGAAACTAAAAAATACCGCATGATTTTAAAAAATCAAACAAATTATAATTAAATTAAAAGATGTAGATTTGATGATAATCTTAGTGAAAGGCAAGACAAATAGATATTCACATGGGGCAATTCTTAAAAATGATCGTAATTGGAATACTTTGACATAGTGAAGTTGGTTTGCTTAGTCTGTTTTTAAATTGTGAGTTCCCTTTATCCATAGGCTATATCAATATTGACAGTTTCCCATGGTACCACTATAGCATTTGCTCAACATTTTGCAGATGTGTGTACATAGGTTAAAAGACAAAAGTCAGGTTTTAATTCCCTAGCTTCTGAAGTTGCATAGCCCCCAGTCTACCTTGATGTCATACAATTGTCAAGCTCCAATTTCTGCTCAGATATCTGTTTATTACCGACTTTTCCTTCCTTTCTGAGGATTTCTTACATCGTGCCTGTTCCTTTACAAAATCAATTCCCTTGCTCGGTAAACATTTAAAGTGGACTCTAGAATTTCACATCAACTATTTTACATTTATTTTATTTTTATTTCTGGTTTTAAAACCCAAATATTAGTAAAATTGCAACCATATGAATGGATTCTGCCTCCCACCCCATCTTAGGTCTTAGTTCATTCAGGTTGTTATAACAAAATACCTTAGATTGGGTAATTTATGAACAGTGGAAATTTATTGTTCACAGGTCTGGAGGCTGGGAAGATTAAGGTGCCTGAAGATTCAGTGTTTGATGAGAGCTCTCTGCTGCAGAGACAGAGCCTTCTAGCTGTGTCAACATGGGAAAAGGGATAAACAATCTCTTTCAGATCTAAAGGTGCTAATCCCATTCATGAGGACTCTATCCTCATCACCTAACCACCTCCCAAAGCCCCACCTCGTCATACCACCACATTATAGGGTGGGTTTTAACATATGAATTTTGAGGGGATATGCCAACATTGAGACCACAGCACTTCTCTACTCACCCCCAGTTCTGGGAGCCTTAAAGCAATGGGAGCTGAAGAGTTTGACTCAAGGAAAGGAACAAATCGTGAAGGAAAGAAGGTCAGCAGTTTTTCCTAAATTGTCCCTTTTTGCACTTTCTTGATTTGGAAGTTTTATATTGCATTTTTCTTAACCTAGCAGTAACTAGTAATACGTAATACTATATTTTTAAAGAAAATTTTCTATTTTGGGTATCACTACCATATTGTTACACAAGAAAACATATACATATTCTTTAGTTATCTATTTACCATTCCCTTCTTGTAACGTTTGTATAAAATTTGAAGTCATGTCATTTTAATATAAATAATAAAACAAGTAGAATATAGTTTATATGACATTTTACATACTCTATATTTTATACCATCTGATTTATATTTCATATGGTATTATCCCTCACACTTGCTTCTTGCATTTTACTCCTTCCCTCCGGATTTACTTTTCTTATTGCTGAAAGCACATTCTCCAAGTGTTTTGGTAAAACATTTTAGTTTTTCTTAAATTTTCATAGATGCTTTACTCACAATGACTCTTGAACGATAATTTTTATGGAAACATTCGAACATAACTTATATTGTTACTTCATAGAATAAGCTAATCTATTGTATTCTAGAAGATTGTGTCATAGGAATAAGATATCTTTTAATAATTGAGTTTTTTGGTTTTTGTTTTTTTGGTAATCTCACTTGTTCTTGAGAGCTTTTAACAGTCTCTCTTTATTCTTAGTGTTTCGTAGACTATGATATGTCTCAGCGTGACTTTTTTTAATCCTTCTCGTTCCTTAGTGAGTTTCTGCAAGACTCATATCCTTCTGGAAATCTTTAACATTAGCTCTTCAAATACTGTTCTCCATTCCTGAAACTATTCTTAGACGTATATTGGAACTGCTATGTCTATCTTCTGTACAATCTTAATGCTTTCTTTTTTATATTTACCTATCTCCTTAAAAATTATAGAGTAAATAAATATATAACAGTGGTATTTAGTATAATTTTTTATATTTTCTTTTTTATTTTTACAGATGTTTTTATCTTTCTAAAAATGCAAAGCATATTTATTTTAGAGTTATTTAGCATTGTGCTTTCAGAAAAAGTTCATTTTGAATAAATTAACCTTCTTATTTTTGATATTGTGACTTCCTTGCTGTCAGTTTTCCTAATATGATTTGTAACTTTAGCTTGAGAGCATATTTTAACCGAAATGTTAGTCCTCTCTCTTTTTCTACTGATCTCTTCTGTCTAGAAATCTTGTGGTTCCCTCCAAGCCATCAAGAAGTACAGTCTAAACTCAGATCCCCTCCTGGTAGTTACAGAATCCCAATCTCAATGACAATGGATTCATTCACCACCCAGCCAGGGTGGGATTTGACTTTGCTCCTGTTTGAGGTGTTGCCATTGCTCTCCCTTCCACTGTAGCTAAGCATTTCTATGGAGCTGTACTCTGGGCAGTGGTTCCCATGTGTTTTAGATTTCACATAAGTGGAGTTCTTCCTCAGCCTTCAGTTTTATGCAGTAGAGAAGCCTGGCTTGTCTGTCCACTACGTAGGTGAACCTTTGGTCCCCACTACTCCCTATCAAACTCCTCAGCCTGTTCCTGTGCTCAAAATACAGCAAACTTCCATGCTAGATTCCTCTCAGTTTTCATACATAACACACATGTATATGTATTCATGTCTTTGTGTGTTCCTCCAAGTTCTTGCTAAAAAGACACAGAAACAGGGTAAATTACACAAGAAATGTAGTAGGAAAATGCCAGTGAGAAAAAATGGGAAGGGAGCCAGAAGAGGCTGGAAGAGGGATCCAGAGAAGGAGACAGAAAAGGAAGGCTGTATGGGAGCATCTTAGACATTAGTGATGTTGTAAAGAAAGTTCAGCAAAGTCATTGTGGAAAACATCGGGCAAAAGTTGCAGGTCAGAGCTATCCTGCATCTTTCTAGAGCAGCAGCCCTCCGTGTAATTGTCATTAGCTGGGAGCCTGTAGGCTGCGTGAACGCAGGTGAATGTGACTAACAGAGAATTTGGGCCTCAGTCATTCCGCTTCTTGTAGTCACAGATCTGAGAGGGGTGTTTTCACAGCCACTACACTTGCCACTTTTTTTTAGTTGTGTCTTTTTCAAGGAGCACAGACAACACTTTCAATTCAAGATAGCAGACTGATCAATGTTGAAGTCTCCCCTCTGATACCAAATACAAATAAGTGAAAATAGAAGTGGGGGAAAAATCAATGACCATTGTAAGAAAGCTAAGAATTCGAAACATGAAAAACTGAGAGGATACCCTGAGTACTAGAAAAGAGATGGAGCTCGATTCCAGACTGAAATCAGAGCCCAGAAGACATTCTGGAGAGCATTGGTAAACACAGTAGATGCATCATAAATGATTCTCCATCACCAATAGTATGGGGCACAGGAGGGTGTTTGGGGCAAGCTATAGGATGATTGGATATGACAGCAGCAATCTACGTGAGGCAGCAGCAGGAAATTCAGGACCTTAGGCAAGAGAGACCTTAACTCTCCCCTAGATGGCTTCTGTGAAGATGGGATAGATGAGTTAGATAGCAAGAAGATGTTAGGTAACTGATGGAAGAAGAAGGGAGAAGTAATTTACAAGGTCATATATAGATAGCGGAGGCAAATTTTGTTATAAATTTTTTCCTAGGCTCTAACCTATTTGTGAAGTTTTATGTGGGTCTGTCCATATTAATAGGAAATGAATCTATCCTGAAATCTAATCTCCCTTTTATGCTGTATTTTAAAATAGGATCTCAAAACAACCCCTTAAACCTGTGAGCTCTACGGTGTCTCCGTTTCTTCCTTCTTTCCTTCCCCTTTTTATACCCCCCAAATGGTAGTGAATACAGTGTAGATTCTGAATATTTACATGTGTTTCTGAAGTGAATGTAAGACTCCAGATATTTACGTTTGGCTTTATGTGTCATACAACATCATCCCTTAGTACCAGAAAATATTAATAGAAAATACACTTCGCCGGTGCTTAATTAGATGATTTTAGGACCATCTTGAATTGTGTCTACATACACAAGTATAAGTAAGTTTTTGAGAAATTCTAGTTGAATTTTTGGTTAAGGCCATAAGAAAAAAAAAATATTCATTCTAGCAAATGTTTGACTAAAGCCCTAGTTGGTTATTGCATTTTCTTTCTGAATGCATATCACAAAAATAAAAGTTTCTAAGAATTATTATTATTATTATTTTGAGATGGAGTCTCACTCAGGCTAGACTGCAGTGGCACGATCACGGCTCACTGAAAACTCTGCCTCCTGGGTCATTTGGGTTCAAGCGATTCTCCTGCCTCAGCCTCCCAAGTAGCTGGGATTACAGGCATGCACCACCATGCCTGGCTAATTTTTGCATTTTTAGTAAAGATGGGGTTTCACCATGTTGGCCAGGCTGGTATTGAACTCCTGGCCTCAAGTGATCCACTCACCTCGGCCTTCCAAAACGCTAGGATTATAGGCGTGAGCCACCATGCCCAGCCGAGAATTATTCTTATATGCTACTTATATGGCACATCATGTGGGCTTAGGGAAAAATCAACTTGTTGCATAAAAGAATGCATTCAAAATGCTTGAAGACTTTCTTAATAAAGATGGTGTTTTAAAGGTTCACCTAAGTGCACAACAGATTCAATGTTTTATAAAGGGTGTAATTTTTTGAAAAGTGAGCAAGCATGAGAAAACATTGTTTGCAGCACATTAATATCAAAGTTCGAGAATAAAAATACGTACTCTATAAAAATAAGTACCACAAAACACAATTCTGACTACTCATTCTATTTGAGTAATTATGAATGAGTTATGAATGGATTATTCATTCACTAATTGATTTTTTGAATTTTCTTTAAGAACCTATGGTGAGTTAGTTGAATTACTGAGACATTCTGTTGTAGTTCATTCAACAATTGCAATTGCTATATAGTATTCTATTGTATGAATATTAATTTGTCCATTTTACTGTAAATTAACTTCTAGGTTGCTTTTCACATTGGGTTAATTTAAAAGATGTTTCTATGAACATTCTTGCATATGTGTTTTAGTGTGTTCCCACTATTTAAAGATGCATATTAATATTCACATTTTTAAGGTGATTATGAAAGAGTGAATTAATAGATAATAAGGAAGGTATATTTTCAGGTTTATTAGATAATAATCTGTCTTCCAAAATGTTGATACCAATTTATACTCACACTAGCAGGGAAACTATTTTTTTTAGGTACTCGTTCTTTTAGTTCTCTTTGTTTTTTTTTGTTGTTGTTGTTCTCATTCTTTTAGTACTCGTTCTTACTAATTTGGTGTTTCCTGTCTTTTTCATTTTAGTCAATATGTTATGTATGTGGTTTTAATTCACATTTCCCTTATGACTGATAAATTTTAGCGTCATTTTATATGTTTTTTGGCTTTTGGATATCGTAATTTGTAAAATGCTGTTTGAGTTTTCTGTCCATTTTTCTACCGGATTGACACTTTATCTTTTGCATTTATAGGAGATTTTTCTATATTCTGTCTATGAGTCCTTTCTCAAAAATAGATAGTAAATACCTTCTTTTAAGATGGTAGTTGGCTTTTATCTCTCTTAACTCTCTTTAAGTTTATCCCTTTTGAAGAAATCTTTGCTTCTACCAAGGTCTTAAGGGTATTCTTTTATGTTTTCCTCCAAAAGCTTTATTTTTCACTTTAACATTAGATCTACAACATTGCTAGAACCGACTTTTGTGTATTGTATCACAGAGGTTTGATTTGGTCTTTCCTATGTAGATACCTAATTAACCTTGCACCACTTACTAAAAAGACATTCCCATCCCAACAACATTGCAGTGTAAGCTGTGTCAAAAATCAAATGACTCTCTACACATGGGTCTTTCTCCGGGCTCTTGTTCTGTTTTACCAGCCTTTCTGTTGTATTTGTTAAAATGTCATGCTAATCATGATGTTTTCAAAGTATTATTGCTAATATCTCAAGGAACCCATTTATAATAATAATAAATGTAAATGTATATTTCAGGATACTCAATCATTAAATTTTTTTGCAACATCTCATATTCAATTAGGTCATCATTATTGCCTCACGATGTGGCTGATGAAGAGTTCACACTCTTTATCACGTGACAGCTAATTTACTCATTATTCTCTTGTGCTTAATTATCTTCAACATGTGACTTGTCTTGGTAAATTTTTAGAACATTTGGCCATTCAATGTACTTAACTCTAAATAATAGAAACTGTAGATCTGCTTATTTAGAAATGTTACATTACATGTTACTTTTTTTTTTTTTTTTTGGAGACGGAGTTTCACTCTTGTTGCCCAGATTGGAGTAGAATGGCATGATTTCAACTCACTGCAGCCTCCACCTCCCAGGTTCAAGCAATTCTCCTGCCTCAGCCTCCAGAGTAGCTAGGATTACAGGTGCTTGCCACCATGCACGGCTAATTTTGTATTTTTAATAGAGATAGGGTTTCACCATGTTGGCCAGGCTGGTCTCGAACTCCTGACCTCAGGTGATTCCCCCACCTCGGACTCCCACAGTGCTGGGATTACAAGCATGAGCCACCACGCCTGGCCAGTTATGTTAACTTTATATGCTGAAAGGGAAATGATGTCATGGCCAACTCTCTTGCATTAAGAAACTTAGGCTTTCATCTCAAGATAACTCCTGACACAGCATAGGATGTAAGGAGCAATGGAGATGGCCAATTTTGATCTGCATATAAAATATCAATAGAAATTCAAATCTTGTCTGTTTCTAAGATTAGATTTTTAATAAAACAAATACAACTTTGATTTATAGTTATGATGGTGTAACAGGGACTGAATTTACCCTCTTGCCTGAAACAACAATATAACTCGGTAAAATATATGAAAATGATTTTCAGGCCGGGTGTGGTGGCTCACGCCTGTAATCCCAGCACTTTGGGAGGCTGAGGCGGGCAGATCACAAGGTCAGAAGATTGAGATCATCCTGGCTAACACAGTGAAACCCTGTCTCTACTAAAAATACAAAAAATTAGCTGGGTGTGGTGGGGGGCACCTGTAGTTCCAGCTACTTGGGAGGCTGAGGCAGGAGAATGGTATGAACCCGGGAGGCAGAGCTTGTAGTGAGCCAAGATCACACCACTGCACCCCAGCCTAGGTGACAGAGCGAGACTCCGTCTTTAAAAAAAAAAAATTTAAAAAAAATTTTAAAATTAAAAAAAAAAAAGAAAATGCTTTTCAAACATCTGACACAAGGCAGCACAAGACAGTGAGAAGAGAACCTGTAAGATGAGCCCCAGGTTTGCCTCTGCTTATTGTCTTCAGAGAATTTTCAGCCTGAAGTGCAGGGAGAAGCATGGATGGTTAAAGCAGAGACTATTGTGGAACCCGCAAGTAACTCAGCAGATAGTGGGAGAAATTGGGATATGGTGGGGAGGGCAGGCAGTTGTTAATGGTGTGTATTCTTTGTTCTGCTTTCAAATGTTGTGGCTGAGAACTGCTCTTTAACACCAGGTCTTTGACCCACTAATAATCCCCACTTTAAAAATGTCCTGGCTGTTTGTGGTGGCTGATGCCTATAATCCCAACAACTTGGGAGGCCGAGGTGGGTGGATCACTTCGGTGATGGTCAGAAGTTCAAGAACTTCTGAGATCAGAAGTTCAAGAACAGCCTGGCCAACATGGTGAAATCCCATCTCTACTAAAAATACAAAAATTAGCGGGGTGTGGTGGCAGGTGCCTGTAATCCCAGCTACTTGAGAGGCTGAGGCAGGAGAATCACTTGAACCCAGGAGGTGGGGGTTGCAATGAGCTGGGATAACACCACTGCACTTTAGCTTGGGCAACAGAGCAAGAC
Source organism: Homo sapiens (assembly GCF_000001405.40). Classification (NCBI taxonomy): domain Eukaryota; kingdom Metazoa; phylum Chordata; class Mammalia; order Primates; family Hominidae; genus Homo; species Homo sapiens. The sequence continues at coordinate 16,239,715 of NC_000008.11, forward strand.
TCCGTCTCAAAAAAAAAAAAAAAAAATCCTTATCCTAGAATTGCACAATCCTGCCCTCAACCTTTTTAATAGTACCCTTCCCTTTTTCATGTGTTCTTCTAAAGTTTTTAAAAGTTTCTTAAAAAAAAATCTAGAGAAACCTCTTAAGAATTTCATAAACATGTTATTTAGACCAAAGTATACTTAAATGTAGTTATTAGACTAGAGTGCCTATTGCCTGTTTGATTGATTCTGCATGAAAACCATTAGTGTGATGGTCTAAATATGAAGAATCAAATAAAAGTAAAGAATATAATATTAATTCATGTTCATAGAAAATGACAATCTTATATAGAATTGTATACGTTACACACATTCCCTTCCCATTATCATTAAGAACAAATAGTCACTGATTGAAAGAACAGATCTGAAAGAACGAAGTGATCTGAGGGGGGAGAAGAATGCTGATTTTCTCCTTCACGCTTTTCTTAAAATGGAAATTTGCAGCATGATTTTCTCTGTTATTTTCTCAACTGACTCAAAATTGGTGTTCAATAATTTTTTTAGCTTTAAGAAAATATAGTGTATGTTAAGAATAAATGAGTAAATCTAAGCAAATCGGTATGTTTCTCCCAATAAATGAGGTCAGACAATCAATCCACATTTCCTGCCTGTAGAATGCTGAATTTCAACTGACTCAAAATCAAGATCAGGGACTATTTTAGGTTATATTAATGTAGAAAAAATGAGAAGGCAAGTCTCACTAAATTCAACAGAAGATACAGAAGCATTTAAAATAACAAGGACTTCTTTTCAATGACAAGTGAGAACAAGTTTTCCAGTAACTGTGATCTTAGTAATTAATTTTTATATTTTTAGTAGAGACAGGGTCTTTCTATGTTGCCCAGGCTGGCCTCAAACTCCTGGTCTTAAGTAAGCCTCCTGCCTCGGTCGATCTTAGTAATTCTGATTGAAAACTTTGGCCGCAGTGGCCTTTACAACACTGGAGGAAGATCCAGCTACTTTCCCGATGTATGGGAGTCCATGTTTTGATGCCTGTCAGCCTATGAAATGGTCAAACAAAATTGAACAAAGAAGTGAGCTGATGGTAAGGGAGTCTGGGTTTCCTGATCACTGGGTTTGTCACTGTGAGACACCTTGGTAAGTAGAGGAGAATCATAATCTTTTTACCTCACTCTATAGCATTTTCTGCCAGTCATCATGCAACCATATCTAAGATGAAAATACTCCTGGGCTGAATCTGCAGTTTCTCCTAATTGATAAGCATTGACTGGAAGAAGAACAGATGGTAGGTACTGGGATTAATACCGGTTGAATTTAAGCATTAAGAGTAGTCAATAAGTTCAGACCTCTTACCTCTCTTTTTGTCTAAATATGTATCGTTGAGGCAAATAATTACACCCATCCCTTCTCCTACATACTAATCAAGTAAACTTTTATTAATTCACCTTCAAGTTTGTTCATTGTATTTGAGATGTATTTGCTGAGGCAGAAGCTGAAATAAAACAAGTCCATCATAAAATATACCCTAGGATCCATCATTCTCTTATGACGATAATATTTTTAAATTTTTTCACATCTAATTTGGTATTCTGAAGCATCCTGTTGGAAAAAAAGTTTTTATTTTAAAGTCTTAACCTCTTAAGGGTTAAGCTTAAAGTCTGAATAAGAATTTGAAACAAAATAGAAACACCCTATTTATAAGCATCAGTTTCCTCATCTTTAAAACAGAAATATTAACAAATTGGTCACACAGCGTTTCCAAAGGAGTTCATTAGACCCTTTCCTATAGAGTGCTTAGCACGGCTCTTGGGTATAATAAGTCCTTACGAAAGTCTGATGTTGGGGGAAAAAGGATCAGGAAAGAAAGCCAGCATTAAAGACTTGTATGGATTCCTATCAGGAAAACTAACTTAATTTCATCCCAGTCTCCATATTATAGACATGTTTTCCAGAACTCTCTCCTTAGAAGAGTTACAAAAACTTCAGGATTATTGTGCCCTGAAGATCCAGAAATGTGCATGACCACATTGTTTTGACAATGGTGGCAAGGAACAATCTGGATGGATGAGTTGCAGAGGGAAACCAAGAGTCAAAGACCTGGGCCCACTAGCAAGGGAAGGAAGGGCTCTTGAAAGAGATCTGGGGCGGGCGTTATGGCTCACGCCTGTAATCCCAGCACTTTGGGAGGCCGAGGCAGGTGGGTCACTTGAGGTGAGGAGTTCGAGACCAGTCTGGCCAACAGGATGAAACCCCGTCTCTACTAAAAATACAAAAAAATTAGCCAGGCGTGGTGGCACATGCCTGTAATCCCAGCTTCTCAGGAGGCTGAGACAGGAGAATCGATTGAACCTGGGAGAAGGAGGTTGCAGCGGGCCGAGATCTTGCCACTGCAATCCAGCCTGGGCAACAGAGCGAGACTTCATCTCAAAAAAAAAAAAAAAAAAAAAAAAAGAGAAAAGAAAGAGATCCAACAGAGACGTACAAGTGAAGCTTATGGAGAAAGCCAGTGGTGTCCCAGACTTTAGGACTATTTCAGGAGAAAAAAAAAGTACTTTGGACCACAGAACTTTTGCAGGTGAGAGTTGAGCTGTGTCACGGAATCCTTCATCTTATACTTACTGAGGGAAGCAGCTTTAATACTCCTAGATCTAATGGACAGGGATATTTAATGCCTTGGTTTTTTCTCTCCCATAAGGCCAGCATACTGGTATGACCTAGTAAAACCTAGGTTGAGTGTCCAGAGAAGCACTGCTGGAATATATTCTGCATTGATTTAGGGATCAATGCTAAGACTCAGGAAAAGAGAGTAAGAAAAATTTTTTAAAGCAATAAATATTTAATATGAATTTACTGAATTGATAAGAATGGATCCTACTATATGGTTAAATAGTATTACAATGAGGCAATGTGGTCCATTAATAAAACATAGGAGGTGGCACTGTTCTCTCACTTGGAGCTAGGGCACAAAAAACTCTTACAATCTAAGTATTTTTTTCTTATTGGCCCAAATGTGAATGGTGATGTGTGTGATGCCCCTGGTCCCTTTTGTACATAACTTGGCTGTGCTCTCTCTGCCAATGTCTGGCTTCCATTACAGTCAAAGTCATTAGTGTACTAGGATTGGGTTCTACCGATGCTAAATGAACGTAGTAAGATCTTCAGTTCTACCCATAACTGGCGCTACTACATGCTAAACGATCCATCTATTGCAAGGATGTTACATAAGAAAACAGGGTCTAAAATTTCTCTGGTTCATTGACGCTCAAATCAGCTCAGAATTTATTTAGCTTCCTAAGGATTTCATGTTTGACTAAAACCAGTCCAAACTGATCTCTCAACTCATTAATTCAAGGCCTAGCATTCTAAGGCAAGCATAATGAATAGACCAACCTAGCTGTGTCCATTAAGATTCTCATCTTCCTTCTTAAAGAAGAGATCATTTGCAATATTCTTTAGGAAATTCAGAGTGCATACTTTTGGAATGAGATAAAAGAGACATATCTTAAAGTCCAGAGAAGAACAGGAAACCCAGCAGTCTCTTTAAAGCAGGGCTTTTGGAATTTATTTTTTTCCCTCCTTAAAAACAGTAAGTTTTTACCATCCACTAAATACAAGTTTATGTCTGATTTTTTTTGTTTGTTTAACCCTCTTTGATTAATTATTTTTATATAATATTTCATGCCACATTTATTTAAACTAAAAAAGAAGTTAAGTGAATATTGACGGTTTGGTGGTTGCTATCTTACAAAGAAAAATTAATATAAACAGGTGGTATTATCTGATTGAGGCAGGGATAATAAATGACCAAATAACAAGAAAACCCATAATACTTGTCAAAAAGAGGCAGAATTATTTAAATAGAAATGTAAACCCTGGCATACTCATTGTTAACACATATTTATTGAACAAGTACTACGTCCCAGAAATTTTGTTGGACCCTGTAGACGCAAAAAGTAAGGCATAATCCTGACCTCAGTAGTTTACATTTTAGAGTCAAAATATGCATTAGGAGAATACATGCTCATTAGGAAAAAAGAAAATTAAACCCCACCATTATGTGTCCTATGGCATAGGTGTGCAGTTTTCGCCACTGAAACATATAATAGGGACATTAAGCTCAGACTGCTATGGAAAAGGGAGAGTCTTGAGTAAAAAGCAGAATTAACTCAATAAAAAAAGATTATGGGATAGAGGAAGATTTTCTCTATAGAGCAAAAGATAAAGACAAAATAAGGTGGAAATAGAATATATACAAATTTAAGAAACTACAAATAATAATTTAATACGGAAGATGTGAGGACAAGAGAAAAAATATGTACAAATATTTTTGTAATTTTAGGTGGAGACAAATTTCTAAAATTCTGCTACCACACCATATTAGGCACCAAAGAATGGAGGGGAAGTACATAGACCTTAGAGCCCAACTGCTGTGGTTCATATCTCAACTAACAAGTGTAACCTGGACGAATAAACTTATGACATCTACACTTCTTTCTATTTCCTTATGTGAAAATTGGTAATAATAAAACAACTTTTTTTTAGCTGCATGCAATGTTGTTTTGAGGATCAAATGGTTTAATAACTAAAAGTTATCTAGAACAATATCTCATACATAAGTATTTAATAAATGTTAGGTATTACTAATATTAAAACTAGAAATCATGAAAAAATGGATATAATTGTGTATAGCACAAAATCAAATTTTATAGACATAAAACTGTACTGGCATGTATTGATTGCACAGGATGGGATAACTGAAGGGATTCAGGGCAAAAGACTGAGAAGTTGTCTCAAAACAAATTATTTTTCAGAACAGTTTTAGATTTACAGAATATTGAGCAGAAAGTACAGAGTTCCTTTAAAGCCTCTTATCTGCACCCTCCCATTCCAGTTTCTCCCTATTGTTAGTATCTTGCCTTATGTGGTACATTTGGTACAAATGATTAGCCAATACTGATACGTTATTATAAATTAAAGTTCACAATTTAGATTAGGTTTCATTCTGTACCTTGTGTGAGTTTTCACACTGTACCATGACATGCATCCATCATTATGATATTATACAGAAACATTTCACTGCCCTAAAAATTATCTGTGCTCCATTTATTTATCCCTCCCTTTTCCTTCCAACCCCTTACTAACTCCTGATTTTTAAAATATTCTCCGTAATTTTATCTTTTCTAGAATGTCATAAAATTAAAACAATACAGTGTGTAGACAGATTGGCTTTTCTTACTTAGCAATATGCATTTACAGTTCCCCCATGTCTTTTTGTGACTTGATAGCTCATTGGTTTTTATCACGAAATAATATTCCATTGTATGAGTGACCACAGTTTGTTTATCCATTCACCTGCTGAAGAACATTTTGGTTGATTCCCAATTTGGGGCATCATAAATAGTAATTTATTTTTTAGGAGTGTTTTGGGCATAGAGATGATTTATTATTAAACTCTATTATATACATTATTACATAATTATTACATATTTTAGTTAACATAATAAAAATGAAATATCCAGTCATTAAAAAGGCAATATATGTCTCTGTGTTCATATATATCCTTACATATATGTGTGTATACATATTATGGATTCTTAAAAATATATAAGCATATGTACATGTGTTGTATGTATGCGTACACTTATTGGCATGTAACATTTTCTTGGCATATAGTTAGTGAAAAAAGCCTAGTTGTTACTTTAAAAGAGGGTTCATAACCATTACGATTTTTGTAGATACGTAGGTAGAGATACAGGTAGATGGATATGTAGCTAATATCTGAAATTATGTTGACCCAAATGCTTATAATATTTGCCTTGCATTGTAGGTTTAAAATAAATCTTAACTTTCTTCTTTCTTCTTTTATTTGTAGGATGAATTTTCACCAGTAATTATCCTTTACCTTTGTAAATAAAATTTATTTTTATTAAAAATATTGAAATGTAAGAGAATAAACTAAGAAAAGAAAGCAGAGAAGATTCCTAAATGGACAAAATATAGAGACTGAAATAATGCTTTTAAATCACAAATTGAATGTTAAATGTTGATGGAGGATGAACCTTCCAGAAAAAAAGTTACATATTAGAATAACATATATATGTTAAAATAACATATATTATATGTAATATGTTATTTTATAAAACATATCAAATATATAATATATGATATATAAATAATACATAAAATATTAACAATATAATGAATTGTTTCCATTAGGTTCTTCTGGAAAATAGTTAAAACCTGAAAAGGAGTGTAAGATGACTTGAGGTAAATCCCAATTGCCAGATCTAAAGCTGATGGCTCTGCCTTCTAATAAACTGAAGAACTTTTCTTGGTTTGTGATTAAGAAGACAAAACATAACCCTGTGAATTGATTTTTAAAGGAATGTGATGTCAGATCTTCACACATTGACATTGTCACTGATAAGAAAATTTTATGAGATTTAGTTAATAAATAAATTTTTATAACTCATGTAATTAGGAAAGACATTATATGAAAACAAATAAAATACCTACAGAAAGAGATAAAGGGCAATGAGGTGAAACTACTTGAGCAAAGAAAAGGACAACTTAATGTCTCCCTGACTCATCTTCTCACATCAGATAGCTTTTTATTTCAGAGAACCTTCTTCCTAAACAAGACCATAGAGAAAAATCAGTGTGTCAAGCAGGAATTTTGTTCCTATTTCCATATTGAGACTACGTAGGAAATAAAACATGAATTAATTTGAAATATATTCAAAATAGCATGAACACGTTAATCATTTTTAAAAAGAGTTGATGTGAAAAATTAGAATTTTGTAATAAGCCAATGTTGTGGGTTGAGTTGTCATAACTCCTAGTAACTCAGAATGTGACCTTATTTGGACATAGGGTCTTTACAGAGGTTAGCAAGTTGAAATGAGGTTAGTAGGGTGACCTCTAATCTGATATAACTGGCATCTTTATACAAAGCGACAATTTGGAGACAGACACACATAGTAGGGAGATGAGAAGACACAGAGAGAAGACGCCTATCTACAAGACAAGGAGAAGGGTCTGGAACAGATCCTTCCTTCCCTCAGCCCTCAGAAGGAAACAACCCTGCCAACATCTTGATTTTTGACTTCTAGCCTGTAGCACTGTGAGACAATAAATTTTTGTTATATAAGTAACTCAGATTGTGGTAACTCATTTTGACAGCCCTAGCATATTAATACAGCCAATATAAAAATTTACCTTGAAATTTTAAAGGATATAGAGTTTTTTTTAAAAGGCAAACGAACCCCTCCCCCCAAAACTTTCCACCAGTTCTGAAGCATAATCAGTTTTCAGAAATAATCTACCAAACATTTTGATTTTTTTAGATATATTATTTTACTTTTTATGCAATTCTCTAAAATATAAAGTCCACTATCCAAGAAAAAAAGGTTACAAACACAATTAGATAGGAAGATATGGATTATCTGTAACTAATTCCTTACAAATAGGCAAAGCATTTTGAGAAAAAAAATAGCGTTCTATAAGCTGAAGATTACAAACATAAAGAAAAAAAGTACATAACCAAGGGCAACTAACTCCAAAATGTAATATCTTCCCGAGGAAACTAGTAAAACTGTTGTCGCTTTTACAATCTTAGCACATAGGTGCCTTTGAGTATTTCCACTACCTCCCCTCAGGATATATCTCCTTAATAAACCACAACAGATAGCATTAAGTGGATACCAGAGATCTTCAGCAGGCTTCTCTGCATTTTTGAAGTTAGATAATGGCATTTCAAATACACATTGAGTTGCACATTAGATAATTTTTTAAATGTCCATTGACACACACACACACACACACACATCCTCAAGTAATTATGAAACAAGCATTTACTAGCTCAAGTCAAAGACAACAAAACACCTCAACTAAAAGGATAAAAGGAACCCCATATTCAGAGTAACTGAAATGGGAAAAACAAAGCTGAAATCATTGAACTATATAAAGTGTCATTGATAGGGTTTGGCTGTGTCCCCACCCAAAATCTCACCTTGAATTGTTTATTTCCATAATTCCCACATGTCAAGGGAGAGACCAGGTGGAGGTAACTGAATCATACGGGTGGTTTCCCCCATGCTGTTATTGTGATATTGAGTGAGTTCTCACAAGGTCTGACGGTTTTATAAGTGTGTGGTAGTTCCTCCTGGGTTCATTCTACTGCCTGTCGCCTGTGAAGAAGGTGCTTTGCTTCCCCTTTGCTTTCCGCCATGATTGTAAGTTTCCCAAGGCCTCCCCAGCCATGCTCAACTGTGAGTCAATTAAACCTCTTTCCTTTATAAATTACCCAATCTTGGGCAGTTCTTTATAGCAGTGTGAAAATGGACTAATACAGTCATTTCATGAAATTATGGCTGTGGAGTCATAGCATATTTTTGGTAAAAGGTGTCCTTAATCTCATCTCAATGGGATAATATCAACTCAACATTTATTGATTCAGAAAATGCAATTTTTTGCTTAACTCCACACCACTGCCAAAGATTTCCTTGTTTGAACTTACAAATAAGTTATCCGTAGAAGAGACTACAAGGCATTCATACAAAATCATTTTTAAGAGACTTTCATATACATATGATTGCTATGCAGAACATAAGGTGTGTTACCACCAAGGCAGGAGGCTCAATTGAGCCCAGGAGTTTGAGACCAGCCTGGGAAACATGGCCAGACCCCACCTGTACAAAAAATACAAACATTAGCCAGGCATGGTGGTGACCCCCTTTAGTCCCAGCTACTCGGGAGGTTGAGGTGGGAGGATCACTTGAGCTCAGGAAGCAGAGGCTGCAGTGAGCCACGATGGTTCCACTGCACTCCAGCCTGGGTGACAGAGTGAGACCCTGTCTTAAAAAAAAAAAAAAAAAGAGACAAGAGATCAGGAAGAGCCTAGAAGGTATGGGCCAAGAGCCTAGATTAATGTATTAGAAAGGCATTGGAGAGTTTAAACATGGGAATAATATTCTCTGATTTATGTTTTTAAGATATCGTCTTTCATGTTCTGAGGAGAATGGATTGTAAGGGGGTGGGGAATGGACATCAATTAGAACAGTGTTTTATTCACTGCTCCACGTTCAGTGGTTAGCATAGAACAGGTGCTCAGTATTTGTAAAATCACTAAATGAATGAATTCCTTGATAGCAAGTGGTTTTACGAACAATCTATGGAATTGTATGTTTAAGAATGAGTAGTATTTTTAAGTGTATCAAGCCTATCTCTATATACATTGCATAAGTACCAGGACATCTTTGGTAATGTGGAGAAGTCAAGTGAGCAATGCCAATTAACTCTCCTGTTGGCAAAAATATACCAAAGAAAATAAAAACAAAAAACAGGAAGAACATGACCAAAATACAACAGCAATGTACAAGACCTATGAGTCAGAGGGAGCAGCATGTGAATTTTTAAGTGACTATTACACGTCTCTGAAATTATGAGTCTGCTCTCTATGTGTCCCTGGGGATAAAACAACTTCTCTGTTAATAATGATTAAAATAGAAAGCATAATTTATCTCATTAAAATTTATTTAACAATCATTCAGCCACTAAAAAGATGACTAAAACCCAGTCCCTATAGTCCGCATCTAGCTAAGGTTAGTGACACCTCCAGACCCGGTCACCAGGGGCTCGCCTCCTGTGTCCCAAGCCTTATAAAGTTCACAAGCTTTGAAACATAAGGACTTTAAAAGATGGTCTTGTGAGAAAGTTATGGAACCATTTAGCAACCTATTGAACCAAAAGAAAATGCCGGAGAGCAGAAGTGTACCTCCCCCGGCAGTAGGATGGGGGGCACTGGGTGAGGAAAATGAAGATGAGTGGGGAGGTGTTAAGAGTGGCCAGAGAGAGGATGACGATGTCTTTTACATCCAACCACCCCAAATTCCCCAGTGCAGGTATCTAAGCCGGCCATCTCCCAAGATCATCCTGTTTCTGCCCTCCCCTCAGGCCCGGTGGCAGTTGTTTGGGAGGCATTTAGAATTGCCTGGAAAACCTGTTTAAAAAGGGAAGTTGGAAGGATGGAAAAAGACCTGGCTCCCAGCCCCACATCCTGGTTCAGTCAGTTCTCACCCTAGGCCCAGGCCACCTTTATTCTACTCTGCCCCAGCCAATAATGGGTACCCTTGAGGCTTACAGGCTGCAGGGCTAGAGGGAGATGAGAGGTGGTAGAAGTTGCACTTTTAGCTTTAGCCTGACCAGGATGAGGGTGATGCTCGTGGAGCTGTCTGCAGGGCCTCGGGCTGAACCCAGTCTGGGCGTGAGAGATAATTTAGAACTTTAAATATTTCAAATGTAAAGATATGAATATCTTTCTTTGCACTCATAAACAATCAATGAGCCTACTAAGGCGACTGGAGAAAAATGATCTTAATAAAACGTAATCAGATGAAACTGCATAAAAAAGCTGCACAGGGTGCAGAATATGTCAAAAGTGATGGTGACTCATAGCTGCCCCGCTTAATAGAGCTTTTAACTTTTGGAACGCACATTGCCTTTCTGGGTGTCCATTTCTTTCACTGTATGGTGGTAGAAACAATATCTGCTTCACACAGTGTGGGGCTGAGGATTGCTATCACAAGGCTGATACCATGTATTAGTCTGTTTTCATGCTGCTGATAAAGACATACCCGAGACTGGGCAATTTACAAAAGAAAGAGATTCATTGGACTTACTGTTCCACATGGCTGGTGAGGCCTCACAATCATGGCAGAAGGCAAAGAGGAGCAAGTCACATCTTACGTGGATGGCAGCAGGCAAAGAGAGGGCTTCTGCAGAGAAATTACCGTTTTTCAAACCATCAGATCTCATGAGACCCATTCACTGTCACAAGAACAGCAGGGGAAAGACCCGCCCCCATGATTCAGTCATCTCCCACCCGGTCCCTCCTACAACATGTAGGAATTATGGCAGCTACAGGATGAGATTTGGGTGGGGACACAGAACCAAACCCTATCATACCACTAGCCCAGATACTGTGCTTGGTGCGTATGACTATGGCCACTAGTGCCACCTCCCCTAATATTGGTGCTATGGGAAATGATGGGAGAGAAGTTCATTTTTCCCTGGGGTCTGAAGTCATGGAAGTCTTCAAAGAAAAGAGGTCACTTAATGTTGTCTTAAAAAGCTTTAGAAGAGAAATAAAATGAGCAAAACTCTGAAGTATGCAAAATGCATGTGATTAAACTTAGGGTTGATTGCGGGGCTAGTGTGGAAGTTAAAAGAATCACTGGTGTGTGAAATGACATTTTTATAACATATAACATTAAGATAATACCACGTGGGCAACTAGATATTATTAAAACTTGTAAAATAATAGTAATAATTTAACTGAGAAATTGTTTTAGAAAGATAATTTCCACCTCAGGTGGACTTCTCCAAAAATAATTGTCTAGAATCAACCATTTTCCGAATGGTGAAACCATCACGGCACCTACATCAGAGTCCCTAAAAGGTGCCTTCCCGGCCAGGCGCGGTGGCTCACGCCTGTAATCCCAGCAGTCTGGGATGCCGAGGCGGGCGGATCACGAGGTCAGGAGATCGAGATCATCCTGGCTAACACGGTGAAACCCCGTCTCTACAAAAAATACAAAAAATTAGCCGGGCGTGGTGGCGGGCGCCTGTAGTCCCAGCTACTCGGGAGGCTGAGGCAGCAGAATGGTGTGAACCCAGGAGGCGGAACTTGCAGTGAGCCGAGATCGCGCGACTGCACTCCAGGCTGGGCGACAGAGCGAGGCTCCGTCTCAAAAAAAAAAAAAAAAAAAAAGGTGCCTTCCTAAGAGAAAAAATAATGATGCCAATGGGTTGAAGTGGGAGTGGAACAATTATGTCCAGGTAAAACCCAAGAGTTATTTGTAGGATGTACAGCTGAGTGCGATATTTACATTTGGTTCCTTTGGTTTACAATTATGGTCACAGTTAATTTCCATATACTTTGTGTTTCAGACCTGATACCAATAAGTTTTCTATTTTAGACTCTTTACAACAGTAAAATTAAAATATTAGAAACTCAAAAGCAAGTAATTTTACTGTGATTGCAGTAGATATGTAAACAGCAAAATATCTAAAATTGCCAAGAACACGTGTGTGGTTTGGTTCCTAGAGCATTTCAGTTGGATTGGATTTCAGAGATTTGTAAATACTATAGATTTTAATGAAAGCAGTTTTGTTGCCTTTTGCTCCTCTGGTGGAAGTAAGTTGCTTCCTATTTTATTTACTTTTCCTTTTCACATTCCATTTTACATAGTTTAAGCCCTAGGTTTCAAGTATAGAAAGAAAGTAGCAAAGAGAAAGAGAGGGAAGAAAGAATACTTAGGACTTCAGTGCTTAAGTTTTACAACCCACTGGTTTTGAATAATTTATTGTCTATAATATAAGACCCTTGGCTGTTTTCTAAGCACTGGATGCCAAACAGCAGATACGAGTAACAAAGTCCAACTCATTTTTATCACAACTTTATTGTCCCTCTGTGGCACTTTTCTTGGCATTTTATTGCTTTTCCACTTTTGTCCAAGCTAATAAAAGGGTCTGATACTTCTTTCCTAGCTAAACAGTCCAGCAGCAACTGTGAGGATAATAAAAAAGATGATTTATCATGCATTTGGATAATTTCTTGAAGCAGGTTTAGAATTGTCTCATAAGTCTCAAGCTAATGTGAAATAACATAATTCACACAATCTTAACACTGGAGTCGAATTGAGATAGAAGTCTAGCACAAAAGTACCCTGTTAGATCCAGGGGGAGTGATGCCTAAATCATTCTAAAGAAAATTATTCTCTATCTTTTGCAAAATAAAATGAAAGGAAAATATTTTAGAAAGTTTTGCCAATATGTGAACAGATATTAGAAAGACAAGGAAATGTACTATCCAACATAGGAAATATTTTTTCTGGGACAACATGATATGTCATGGTAAATCCTAACAAAACAGGACTTGCCATTCTAACTGATATGCATTTCCAAATATGTAACTATAGTTCTCCTTTCCCCTCTTGTGCCCATATAGTTCCTTCTGCACATATCATTTTCCTACTTAAAATTCCTCAGTGGCATCTTATTGTAATTGGAATTTATATCCAATATTCAACCACGTCTATAAAACCTACGTGATCCATTTTGTTTGTGCTTTCCTTACCTTGACTGTTGTCGCTAAGACTGTTCTAGCTATTGTGGTCTTTTTCTGTTCCTTGAATTAGTCAAGCTGATATTTGCCACAGTTCTTTGTATTATTTCTGTGTGAATTACAGTTCTTCCAGGACTTTGCATGACCCCTTTCTTTTTCTTATTCAAGACCCTCTCAAACATGAGGACTCTCTGACCACCCAGAAGCCTTCCTGCCCCCTCAGTTCTCAGGCTCTTTCTATCTCATTGCTTTGCTTACTTTTTTTTGGTCATACTTAACACTAAATGAACTTTTCTCATTCATTTACTTGTCTGGATTAAAATATCCACTAAATTAGGGCCATTGTCTACATGGTCTTCTGCTGAATCACAGGCACCCCTAATCTGAACCACAAGCACCCCTAATCTGAACCACCGCATCATGTTTACTTGCCAAAGAATAGCTACATTAGTGAGTGAGTGGGTGGATATTATATTGCTCTGCTCGGCAGGGTCTATAAAAACCTCTACACAAACTTAAAACTACAATGAGGTGATGGGAAAATGAAGATCATATTCAAATGTGGCAACCAATTTAATTTGTAAGTGCTAAAATACTAGAGTCAAAAACAAGGAATTTTAAGATGAGTGCATTCTACGAGCTAGTATTTTCTTTCATTCATTCGTTTATTACGTATACATACATAGAATGATATTCATTAAAAGTATACTAAAATGTTATAAAAGGGGGTGGACAAGAAGCATAGCTTTGAATTATTTCATACTCTGTGAAGTGTAATTTCATACTTTATGAAGTGTATTTCAAACTCTATGAAGTGTATTCCCTAAAATGGTAGCAGATAGTAATAAAAGATTTGCATAGATAAATGTAAAATTAAAACCTTATAAACGTGACAAAAAAGAGCTACATGAAACTATGAGATTATATAACATGTGGAATTGATCTATACCATAATATAAATTAATATAATAGCAATCTATTAATATAATTTAATAGATTGCTAAAGACTTATTTTTTATTAACTATTGAGTAGATACACACTGATATTTGTAACATATAAAGAGAATGTGAGGTACGATAGTAATAAATACGTATATGCTCACTATTTAGGAAGTCTTCTATTGTGCTTCCCTAAAACCAATAAATTTTCTGTTCCCTTGAAGGGACCCCTATCATGAATTTGATGTTTACAATTTTATTGCTTTAATTTATAATTTTGCAACATACATTTGTAACCTGAATGTTTCTGTTGTTTAGTTTGTGAAGTTTATTAATCACATCTAAATAGGAACTATTCTAAGACTTCTATGAGATTTGCTTTTCTTCCTCAATATTACGACCCTAAGAATCATCTATATTGCTTCTTATAACTGTACTTCATTCATTGTGTGCTGATTGTTATTTCATTGTAGAAATTTGCCACCAATTAATTTATCCATTCTACTCTTAATGAGCATTTGGATTATTTCCAGTTTGGAACTATTATTCACAGAGGCAACTACAAACATTCCTGTATTTGAAGTGCAAATATTTCCTTACAGTATATAACTAGATATGGCTTGCAGAGTGATAGTATATGCCCATCTTCATATTTGTAAAATAATCCAGAATAGTTTTCTTAGGAGTTTATTTTTATTCCTATCAACAGTGCACAGTTTTATATGTTGTTTTTTACATGTTTGGAATGCTTGATGGTGACAGATTTTAAAAATCAAAAATCAAAAGAAGTTCTTTGTTAAAAACACCATTTGGCTTTAATTTGCATTTTCTTGGGAGTTGCTCTTCTCAAGTCCGTGTCACTATAGCTTCTGTCATTTTGCAGTTGCTATCTTATTTAATGTAGTAGCATTTGACAGAGCTGATTTTTACCCTTTTTGAGACACTTCCTTCACAAGACACCATATCACCTGGCTTTCCTCCTACCTTTCTGGTTATTCATATTGAGACGCCTTTGCTATTTTACTAATCATGTGTCAGCCTTTACATTCGGTATAACTATGATCTAAACTACTGACCTCTTTCCTTTTCTATCCACACTTACTCCCTAGGTATTCCATTTAATCTCATTGCTTTAAATATCATCTAGAACCTGAGTATTCCTACATTTGTATCTCAAGTCCACATGTCCTCCCGAACTTCAGTACCATATATCCAATAATCGTCTATGATAGTTGATATATCTACATGGATGTCTAACAGGCATCTTCAATTTAACAGATATTCCCATTCCTTTTCAGAAACTGCTCTACTCTCTACTGTCCATCTCTTAATAATGGCAATTCAATTTTTTCTATTTCTGATGCTAAGAACTTCGTAGCCACCTTTGGCTCCCTCTTTCCCTTCAAAAGCCCCACTTATTCCATCAGCAAGTCCTGTAAGCTCTATCTTAAATTCACAATTCTAACACCCCTCACTAACCCAACAGGCACCACTCTGATCCCAGCCCAGTGTTCCCTCTCTTCATTTTTTAAAATAAGCTCCCGACTTCCGCTCTTGTCTCTCAAGAGTATTCATAACACCTCAGTCACAGTAACTGTGTTAAAAGGTAAGTCTTTGCATGTCACTCCTCTACTCAAAATCCTCTCGTGTCTTCCTGTCTCAGAGTAAAAGGTAAATTCTCCACCACAGCCCACCAGAATGTGCGTGTTCTGCACCTCATTGTCTATCTGATCTGATTTTACTTTTCTTTCTATCCAGCCACATTAGCTTCCTAACTGTTGGTAGAAAAATCAGACACATTCCCTCTTCAGGGTCTTTGTACACAAACTTTCCTCCATCTAAGATGCTCTTCACCAATACCCACAAGACAGCACTCTTGTTTCCTTCAGGTCTTTACTCAAAAGCCACTTTCTCAGTGAGGCATTTCCCCAGTCTCCATTGGCATTTTTTATTGCTCCTCTTTGATTGTGGTGATAAATGCTATCAGGGCAAATAAAACAGGATCAAAGAAGAACACTTGAAAATGCCAATGGAAATTGTTGCATCCATAGGCATGCTATCTATTTGCCCACCTCCATTTTACTCTGCAGTCAGTCTGACTTCTGTTTACACCACTCACATATAAAGGTTGCTGGTTAAGGTCACCAATGAGCTACATACAGACAATCCCCATTCTAGAGTTTCCAGCCTTATTCTATTGATAGTTTTAGAATATTTCACACAGTTTACCACTTCTAACACTTTCCTTGGCTTCTGTGACACTATATTCTCCATGCTTCCAATCAACAATTCTGGCCTACATTTCTTAGTTTCCTTTGCCATTTTATTTCTTACCTGATGTATCAATTTTCAGGTTTCTCAAGCATCTTTCATGATTTTCTTTGTATAAACCCTCTGCATGTTATATATCACACATTTCAATTGCGTGAAATTCCATCTATGTGATAAAATGTACACGTACATCTGTAGGCAATAAACTCCTCAGGAATGGCAAGAGCAAAATGCCCTTGGGCTCTCCTGGTTTTTACAGCACCATATGTATTTCATCTTTCCATGGTAGTTGCCATTATTCTGCAATATCACAAGTGATTGAAAGATATGTTAACTTGGTTGGAGGCACCAAATTCCCTAGGGAAAAAAATTAAGCTATATTATTTTCTCAGTTGTGCCTTTTAGTCTTATAGAGAGTAAAAAGAAATTCTGTGTGTTGAGTCAAAGACATTATGACAAATGTCCAATGGGAATATAAATATACACCTGAAAAGCTGTCTCTGAGTTTTGACACTGGAAGACTATTTGAGACAAGATATTGTATGTGACCATTCTGTATCATGGATATTGTTTTAAAAGAGCATAAACTTATTCAGAGGTGGTCTTCCATTTTTTCACTAACTCAATACTATGTGATGGATGACTACAAACAATATATTTTTTAATTTCCTTAATATTCTAAGAGGCATTACATATTTATTTTACCATCAGATAGATTCAACTTATATGCTATTTACTTCCATCCCTTAGAGAAATATATCATGTATTTTTATTAAGCTGTTTATTTTACCAAGACACAATGTATGTTGCAAAACTAATATCTTCAGAAGTTTGGAAAATTAAAGAGGAAAGAGGATTCCAAAAATCTCCAGAGAAGCTTGTAAATAATTGACTTTCCCTTAGATAATTTTCAATGGGTCTTCCTTTTCATTTTTTTTTTTTGTTTTTTTTCCCAACATGGAACTGCAAAAAAAAAAAACTCAGAAAAATAGAAAAAAAAACTAAAATTAGTATGTATATTATTGTAAATGCAATCAATATGACATTGTCATTAAATTTAAGTTTAATTTTCCCAAATCGGTGCATTAGAAATCTAGACACTTTCCTTCATTCTTGCCTTATATATGCTATTTCATCTATCTTGATTGAAGCAGAGCATAATCTAAACAAAAGTTCAAGTATTTCTCTGCTTCAAGAAGAAACAGGCAACTTGTAATTTCCTGAGTAGATAATGGGGTTTATGTGAACTATAAACTGATACTGTGGTATTATGACAGTTGTCAGCACAGTTAGCTTAGACTCTTTTGGAAACCTAATTCTAATGGAAGGTGGGCCAGTGGAAAGTGGCCAATATAGAAATGTTGCTTTATAATGATCATTGCAGAACCCATTTCTGTTAGTCCACAGTGTACTGTTAAGTTTTCCACAATATCAGCCACAGGAACATGGATGGATGGAGCATAGAGAAAGAGGACCAGGCAAGGAAATGCATAAAGAAATTAGTCTTTTTCAGTGCAGTCATTCATCTAGGGCTCAATGGTCCACAGGGGTCTTGGTCTTCTGCATTTAAGCCAATAGGTGTGGTATTATAAATGGATTTTGCTGCCTAACGAATGGAAACAGAATACTCTTCATTTGTCCTCATGCTTAAACACAGATAGGTATTAGAAATATCTCCAATGATCTTGGCCTGCCTCCTCCAAAAGATACATAAAATAGGAAACAAACTATAAGCCAAACCTGGATTTGGTGGTGGTGAGAAACAAGGAAGGTGGAGAATAAAGTTTGCCTGACAGCAAATGCTCCTTATGATGTTCCAATTCAAAACTGAACCTTGGGCCAGTGGAGCAAGGTATGGGAACTAAACTTGAGAGTTTACATCATGCTATGGCTTGAAGAAGGATAAAGAGCTGCCGTTTTCTTCCTTCAAACATGCTGACTTGAAGTACCCCAACCTCTAGCAAGAGTGGACATGCAACTTTTCTGGAAACAACATGCCCAATATAGCAACTCAAGAGCACATAGATGGAGAATCAGCAGATATGAGTTCACAAGTATCACCAAAAACATGGCAGGCAAGTCACAAGACTGAACATCAGCACAAACAATAAACAGCTGAGCAGGCCCACAAAGAAATTTTGGGGATCAAACTGTTAGCTAGACACTGGAGAATTGCAATATAGAATAATTATGCATAACATGATTAAAGAAATGTGAGGTAGCATTTAGAGATTATCAAGAAAGAACAGACCAGGCAGATATAGATATAGATATAGATATAAATATACATATAGATATAGATATATAGATATATATAAAATATATAACTAAAAAATATATAAATATATATACACACATATATATGTATACATATATGTGTATATGTATACATACATATATATACACACATATATGTTGGTATATGTATACATACATATATATACACACCCACATATATGTGTGTATATGAATATATATGTATACATATATAAAATAGAACTTCCAGGCCGGGTGCGGTAGCACTTTGGGAGGCCAAGGTAGGAGCTCAGGAGTTTGAGATCAGCCTGGGCAACATGGTAAACCTCCGTCTCTATTAAAAATACAAAAAGTTAGCCGGGCGTGGTGGCGTGTGCCTGCAATCCCAGCTACTTGGAAGGCTGAGGGAGGAGAATTGCTTGAACCCGGGAGCTGGAGGCTGCAGCGAACTGAGATCGCACCATTGCACTCCAGCCTGGGTGACAGAGTGAGTCTCCATCTCAAAAACAAACAACAACAACAAAAAAATAGAACTTCCAAAAATGAAAAGTATAATTGTTTAAGAATTTTTAAAAAGCCTCAGTGGGAAGATTAAACAGAAGATGAAACTGAAGAGGGAATTATTGAACGTAAAGTTGTATCTGAAGAAATTAAGCAGAATGCAGTATGGGGGCAGAGTGAGAAAAAAGAGGAAACCAGGTCATGATTACTTAAAATGTCTAATATCCATCATATTGGAGTTTCAGAAGAAAGAGGCAATATTTAAACAGAAAATGATGGTTCAAAACCATTGAAATTTCTCTTTATATTGTTTAGACTAATTTCATTTGGGAATCTAAAATATGAACCTACTGAGTTAAACACAAAAAGGCAATGGAAAAATTATTCATCAATTTAAGGATGGCAGTATTTTTCTCAAAAAATTACTTGCCCACAGTATGAAGATTAATATGTAAGTAGTTTTTAAAAATAAACAGTGGTTAGCAAGGAAGATCACTGTGAATGTTTTAATTAATATTACTATATTATTTTTAATAGAAATAATTCTGGAGGAATTACTGTCTAGCATTTCATTGCTGGTACTCTAAAGAAAAGGCATCTATCACAGTCAAATTGTTGGAATGATTTTTTTGTCCATTAGAGAGCACTACACTTACTCATTAAAAATGTCCTCTATTTTTATGATCTCTCTTTGTGGTATTATACTTTTTCATTCCACATAAACAGACATTTGGTTCAATATTATTTACCAAAGTGTTTGATGCTGTCAGCAGAACTGGGATTTACAAGGAAACGTGAAGCTCCTCTACATTCTAATACAACTTAAAGTTATTCTCCATTCACATTCACTCACATGTGGTTCATTCTTTGTTTCCAACAAAATAAATCAGAATGGTAGAAACTCAGATTATTTCAGTCATGCACTTTTCTAAAATAAAGATATTTTAGATCCTAAATAATTTAAGTCCTGCTGATGACTGATAATTATACAAAGTTTTCAACAGTCTTTTAACCTTTCTTGTAAGGTGACAATTGTTGCTGATATGACCAGTGTAACACTTACTTAACGAGATATTATCAAAATTACACACAATTCTCCAGATACAATGGGGTTAATTACAGTGAAAATAAGCCACATCATACGGGGAAATATAGAGCAAATACATTTTTTAGAAAAAAATCTGTACTTAAGCTTTAAGTCTTTATCATAGGCACTCAAAAGTATCTACCAAACTAGTAAATTAGTGAAAAGTAATTAGTAATTAATACCACTTAAAATATATTACTTAGAGCAAATTATGATTAGTGTTTTTTAGATATCTCAAAGATAACTGTATCATTGTAGCTCTGACCTTTCAACTAAATGAGCAAAAAACCCAACAATTACTAAATGTTTATTATTTACTATGTACCAGGAAATATTATAAACATATTAAATATATGAATTCTTTTGTCTTTTACAAACCCATGAAGAAAATATTACCATTATATGCACCTTAAAAAAAGAAAATTGTGATGTAGTGAAGTGAAATATTTGGTTCCATTAGTAATTTTTTATTTGTATTTCTAACAACTCTAAAAGGTCACTTACCAGTCTTCCGTAGTTTTGACTCACATGCTTACCCATTTTTATAACTCCAAGAAAGACACTTAAGTGTTCTAATTATGAATTTCCTCATCATACCTCTCTCACTTTTTATATTTTTTCATAAGGAAGATTATGGTATGAGCTGATTCTGGTAATGCCTTAGTTCAGTGCCTTCCCCCTAAAAAGCAATTGCTCCATTGGTGTCTGTGATGTTGATGATAATGAGGATGATGATGGCAAAAATTAGGATAACATAGAAGTGTTTTTTAAGCCCTAAATAAGGCTTTATATATATATATATATATAAGGCTCATATATATATATATATATATATATATATATATATATATTTTTTTTTTTTTTTTTTTTTTTTTTTTTTTCCGAGGCCTGGTCTCACTCTGTCACTCAGTCCGGAGTGCAGTGGCATGATCTTTGCAGCTTTGATCTCCTGGGCTAAAGCAATGCTCCTGACTCAGCCTCCCAAGTAGCTGGGACTACAAGCATGTATCACCATGGCCAGCTAATTTTTTATTCTTTTGTAGAAACAGGATCTAGCTGTGTTGCCCAAGTTGGTCTCGAACTCCTGGTTTCAAGCAATCCTGATGCCTTGGCTTCCCAAAGCACTGGGATTACAGGCATGAGCCACCATGCCTGGCCACAGTTCTAATAAGTTTTAAGCTTCAGGTAGACTCTCTACAAATGAATTCCCAGAATTCTATTAGCAGTGAGTCACCTTTTTATTCCCTTGAGTACAGAATGTGTGCTAATGTGTGCAGGATGGGTGAGTAAAGAATACATAAACAGCTGCCGTACTGCAGGTAAAATAAAATTACTTTAGACAGGGTAGCCAAAAGAAGCCCCAGAATGCTACAAGGCAAGACACATTGTCAGCTTTCATAAGAACCCAAATTTAATGGATGCAAAGAAGCTGGGGCCAAACAGTAGCAGGGAGAACAACATGGCCCATAACCACTAGAGAACTCCATGGTTCACTGTAGGTAAACCTTGGAGAGGAAGAGAAGGGTGACTGTCATTATGAGTTTAGAGACAAAGTAAAATCAGTTTTCATTTGTATGCAACTGGACACAACTGCCTGTCATCTTTGTGGGCCTTTTAAATTCTCCCTGCACATACTGATAGCAACATTATCTGTAGGATGCTACCTGAAAATGAAGTACAATGGTATGTATATCAGTCCTTCTATGTTTATGCCATCGTTTAGGACTTTTTTCAAAAATTATTAAACTCACCAATATTCTTCAAGTGCTGAAAAGATAAGGGAAGCCACTGTAGCCTATATGACACTGGAAAGATAAGACTATTCTTGATTATATAACAGAGTGTAATGACAGACAAGAGACTTAACTTGTCTGTTTAAGGAAGAATATAAATTACATTTGCAACTATAAAAAGATTGTGGTCACATTCATACCATAGTAAAAGATGACATCTCACTTTGCCCAAAGTTTTTGTTGTGCTTGTGAACAGTTGTTAAAATCAACTTATTTCTATGCAAATGTACAACTGCATTCTGACAGGGACTGTTTCTCCTTGAACTGGGAAATAACATCCTTGCTAAATTTAAGGCCCCACAATGAGAGAAGACTAAAATGCAAATGATTATGACTGAGGAGAGGTGATCGACTCTGCCTTAATTTTCAAAGCATCAAAGGAAAAGATACGCCCAGCTGTAGAGGAATCCCTAAATCATGCTGATAGTTAAGTCACCAGTAGTAGTACACATACATCCAATGTCATCCATTTGTTCTGTGGCAAATTTTATAAGAGAGAAGACAAAATTAAATGATGTGGATAATGTGACAATAATGCCTATTCATTTTTTATGAGTTTTTCCCTTCAGTGGAAAAGGTCTTCATTTATATGACACAGAAGGGTCCCTGTTTTCCTCTGACTGCAGGGTCTGGCCCATTCGCTGCTCAAGGGCTTTTAACTCCTGATTAATTGGCAATTGGACAAAATTATACTTTTATTTGTACTCTAGGCTCTCTATATCAATTTAAGATGAATTGTCTTCAAAACAAACAGAACATTAGTTGAAAGTAACACACAAAAAAGTGCTTTATGTTATATAAAAGCTCTTTTTCTCTGTAAATGTAACAACCGTATTAACAATAAAAAGGAAACACAAGGACTGTAACAAATTGTCCTGCAATGGTCTATTCAAAATTCCACCGAAAGCCAGATGAAGATGTCTGTAGTTTCAGGCCCCGGGAGGCATTGGCATGTTTCATGATGACACTTGCCAGCAGCTCATCGTTTGTGCTGAGGAAGTGGTGGCCTCTCATCAAGCCAAAGGAATTTGTTGCCTTTCTGGCTTTTCAGTTCTCCACCCTCTGGTCATGCATCTCTCTTTTACCAAAATTGATATAGTAACAAATCTTCACATTTTATAAAAGCCTCAGACTAACAAAACTAGAAATAAATATCCTAAGATTTTCTTGATTACCAAGGTTTGCTTAAAATATATTGAATACACTTGAATGGAAACGCACATGATTAAAGCATTTTTAAAATTAGGAAGTAGTTAGGTATTAACAATTCATTTATGCATTCAGACATAATTCTGAAGTTATATTTTATTTATTTTACAAAAATTGTAGGGGCAAATGATGATGATCCTCTGATTTTAGGTATGTATGTAACCATGGGCAAATAAATATCC
Organism: Homo sapiens; assembly: GCF_000001405.40. Lineage (NCBI taxonomy): Eukaryota > Metazoa > Chordata > Mammalia > Primates > Hominidae > Homo > Homo sapiens. The sequence goes on from NC_000008.11 coordinate 16,263,082, forward strand.
ATATTTTAATTATTCATTTTTAAGATGAATATATTTAAATCATCACAACGTCTCTCTCCAGTTCTACAAAAACCAGCTCTGTGCTATTGTTCTTCTCATTTTCTAAAAAAAATACAGCCAAATACATAAGCCAAAGTGATGAGTTAGAAACGATAAGCCTAATGATTCTATTCATGATAGTAAGATAATTAAACAATTTAAAAATTAATGCTAAACTTGCAAGAAATATTTTGGAAAAAATATGGGAAGATAAAACTCTTCAAGTAGAGATTGCATTATTAGAGATGTATCCCATGTGCTTAAATGAGATTAAATATTCCCAAGATGCCAATACATGTAATGTTTTTCTAATCAGATTAGAAATGAGACGTTTTGCGTGTTTTGTTTTCATTAAGCCTTTATGACATTATCATACAGTTATCTAGCGTAACTATAAACTATTCAAAAGTACTCTTAAAATAAAAAATGAGAAAAGACTTTACTTACTTGATATTATTTGCTCAGAAATAGACAAGAAATACAATGGTTTAAAACAGAAATCTAGAAACTATTTGAGGAAGAATTTGGTATATGATACGAGACACATAAAATCACTGGGGAAAAGAATGAATGCTTTATAAATGGCACTGTAATAGATGGCTAACCAGTACCTTAACTACGTAACTCCAAATAAAATATATTTTCTAAAATATTATATAATTCTGTCAATTTTACTTTGCAATATTTTTATAAATCTAAGCAATCACTTTTAATAGTTCATTGAATCTTGAATGCTCTAGCCTTTAACCATAGATCTTTTTCTGGGTATTTATTTTTTACATAGCTAAAGCTTCAATTTCAGAAAAACCTATATCAAGGACTGCTACGCAGAAAAAAGAAAAATATCTGTTTATAATTTAAATTTAAATCTATAATGTATTCTCTGTTTAAACACACTACCCACATAGAGTTCTATCTTTTTAATTTGTTTATTTAGTACTGTTTTGCTTTTTCTTAGAAAATTTTATTATTCTATAGTTAAATCTACATGCAAGAATGTCTTTAAAAAAACCATGAGTTAATTCCTCAATATTTTCACATTTTCACAAAAAAAGTATTCACTGAGATGACAAATATTTTGCAGATATTCTAATTACAATGTTGTTTTGTTCAATGATATATTTTAGATTCTTTTTTTTTTTTTTTTGCACAAGATGTTTGGTTTGAATTATGTCTGTAAACCAAAAACTATCTGAGGCAGGCCTCAGTCAATTTAGAAGTTCATTTTGTCAAGGTTAAGGACATTCCTGGAATTAAAAAACACAGATTCACAGAAACAGTCTGTCATCTGTGCCTTTCTGCAAAGATAATTTTCAGAGGTTCAATATTTAAAGGGAAAAAACGGGCTAGAGAGGAAAGCCGGGGCTGGATAGGGTTACACACAAGTTGCAAGAGAAAATGAGCAGGTAAAGGGATAGTCATGTATGCATTCCTCTCCTGCTCAGTACATCTACACTTTACATAAGACACAAGTGAAAACAGAGTGGAGATATTTAATATTTTATCTGTAGCTAACTGCTTAAGGAACAAAAGGAAAGGCAGATTCTTTCATGACTCAGCTTTCAGCTTCATTTTTTCTTTTGGTAAAGTGAATTGGGGTCGTGAGTTTTATTTTCTCTTCACAATACTTGTTTACTGGATTCAAGCAGCTGTGGCTGATATTTGAGTTTTGTCATAAAAGTGAACTCAGTGGTTATACAAATAAATGATGACATTTCTAGAAAACTTTTTAAAAATGGGTGGAATCCAATCCCCCAAGCATGTAAACTAAGCCCTGCTCAGTTTGCGGTTATATCTGGATATGTTTTCCAGGACACATCATCAACTCACTGACTAGGTTCCAGTTCTATTTGGAGTTCTAGTTTTGATAACCATTAAGCTGAAAGGTTTTTTGCTTTTAGTCTTGGAAGATTCCCCTCAAATATTTGCAACTGAGATTTTGTCATGTCTGCAAATCTGACATTCCACGTACTCTAATCCTTTCCTTTTATCTTAGCCCAGAAGCTGGAGTTTTGCTATATATTATACTTAAAATAAAAGAAAAAGTCTCACCCTGATGTTCCCGCTTGCAGCAAATGCATTTTCACATAGCCCTTTGTGGTTCACTATATTCCTGTAAGGATACCTGGTTCTTCATTTTGGGGCTGCTTTCTATTGCTTTTCCTTGATTTGGTGGCACATACCTTTGGAGAACAGGTGACTTTCAGCATTCTGGTCAGAAAGGGAGAATGAGGATTTCAGAATAAGTCTTAATCAGGAATTCATTTCTTCAGTTGTAACCAACTCCAATGGGTTAAGTCATTAATTAATCGAATATGTGCTGTAGCCAGGTCCCAAGTGTCATGTTCTAAGTGTTGTAATAGTTTTTCCTTCGCGAAAAACAATACATCCAATTCTATTCAGGCTCTGCCAGTCTCTAGTGGATAATCCAGATGTAGGGTGTGGTGATTCCCAGACTGGCCTGCTATTATATTTAAAATGACCATCACTGGAGAGGCTTAAACATGACAACAAAAGTGCAAATGCAAGTAAATATGTCTTACTTCAATTAGAATGACATTCTACACTTTTAAAATGCAAAGTCATTTTACTTCAAATTCTGCCAGTAAGATGCAATGATCATGATTAAAGATTAAGACTGGATAAACATACTGTATCTGAATCTTCAGAAGTACATCTACGTGAGCAACAGAGACAAACACTGGAAAGATCTAAGCCTTTTCTAAGGGAGAAGAAACTTTGGCAGTAAGATTTGGGGTACTTACAGCCCCAATAGCAAGACTATCTCTTGTATAGACATAGGGTATAATCCACTTTGACTATGGCCTGTCCTGCTGGTCATGTCATTCTGATTGTTAACTAGGGAATCTGTTTAATGAGATGCCGTTTATCACTTGATCAATTTAATGTCCCTTGTTCTGAATCTGTTTCACCAAGGGATTTCTATAACCTTCTGGTATAGAGAAAATGTACTGCTCATGCTGACTCAATTACTTCGATCTTTGTGATGATTGCATTTGTCATTATGAATTAGTGAAATGGCTTTAGGCTGTTCAACAAATCAACTATGTTAGTCCTAACTATTGCAAATCATTGCATTGCTCTGTGCCTTATTTTCTACTCCTTTAAAAAGGTAACTACTAGTGGTATCTTCTTCCTACAAATGTGGTAAAGATTAAATGAAACCATTTGCTGTCACAAGGTTTTCAAAATTTTGTACTCCAAGACAGAAATAAGCCTTGTTAGTGAAGACTTCTATAAATGTGTATTGCTTAATCCCTCTAGGCATTGGATTCCTGTCTGCAATATTCAGGTATGATCCGTCATGTCTATCAATATTGAATAATAATATTTCAAAGCTTTGCAATTACCATAACAAGAGAAACAAGACTGAATAGATGTTTTTTATAGTCTATACAACACAGTGATAACTCTCTCCAATAATGTTAGTTTACTTCTTTTCCAGTCATTACATTTGATTTTTTTCTTGTTTTACTGCATTTGTGAAGATCTCAGAGACAATGAATAGAAGAAATAAGAACATGCATTCTTGTATTATTCCCATTCTCAGCAGGCAGCTTTCCGTATTTCATTTCAAATGTGTTATCTGCTGATGATTTTTTGTTGATATTATCTACTGTGTTAATAAAGCTATCATTTATTCCCAATTGAACCATGGACCAATTTTTGTTCTTTACAGATTTGGGCCAGATTATATATATACTTTTGTTCTTTACAGATTTGGGACAGTTATAGGAAAATGCCTTTTTACCTAAATAAACTTATATTATCCATTAATAGGAGGTAAACAACATTTTGTTTTACAGCCTTCCTCTATAAGGCATGGAATTAAACTTCTAAATTCACCAAAAAGTCTTGTCCATACCATGGTTGCCTTATAATTACTTTTGCCAAATAGCAAGTGAGCACAGGACACACTTTCAAAATATTTCATTTATGACATCATGCAATGTTTCACACATCAGTACTTTCCTTACAACCTTAGACTTTTCAATAAAATGTTGAGGTATTTTGTGTTTATTAAAAAAAAAGGGATCAAAAATAGTTGTGCCCATTATATCTTCTGAAGATCTTCCCTACCAATAAGGACCCATATCTTCTATAGAGATGATGGTATTGGTATATAGAAAGAACTGAACTGCCGGGCTATTGGCATGCTCAGAGAGTAAGTTTCCCAAAAATAATCAGCTCTGAGGGTAAGACCTGTATATAGGCATCTAAGAAGAATGATCTCTTGCTTTCAGGCACTGGTATTAGTTATTACTTTTATAAATACATTTTAAGTGACTTTTTAAAAAGGAGATAAAAACTGGTGTTATATGTACAGTAAGAGAAATCAAAACGAAGAATCCACCAATTGATAATGTTTTAGCCCTTATTCTTTCCTCCTAACTGAAAGCAATCAATGATATTGAAGAAAATAGTTATTATATTTTCAACAAGAGATGAGATAATTTGATCTAAATGTATTTAGAACGCATAGATTTTATTTTTTGCTTTAATTTGAAAATATCTAAGAACATTTGTAGTCATTGTTAATGATCTGGTTAATTATAGTTTTACTACTTGTATAACTGGTGATTAGAGGAGTCTCAGCTCCTTAGATATAAAAGAAAAGGTTTTATTATTTCTCAGGCACTGCATTTAAATGTACCATGTTGAAACTCACTTTGTTGTTGGGTAGTAGGTCTCTTAACAGCATATAGTTTATAGTTTCAATTTTGTAATTATTCCATAGTTTTATGTTCCTTAGCTTGAATTCTAGAAATCTCATATCATAAGCCTTATTGTTTCCCCTATACAGGCTGGATTTGTGACTCTAGGGGCTTGGAGCTGGAAGCTGGCCATGTTCTCACACTCCTCCTCCTCTAATACACGAGGGACATGGTCCAAGGGAACCAGAACTGAGAATGAGGACTTGACAGAAGGAATATGCTTGTGGCCAAGACACACTTGCTCTATTAGAGAGCTGGAGGGGCAATTATACTGAATCCCAGCTGGAGTTGCCAACTCACCTGGAGACAGGCTTAGGGAGCCAGGAAGGAACCCTACTGTTTGTTATCAAAGGTGGTTGATTTAGAGACCCAGAGGTGGCAGCTGTGTGATTTGGCCTTTTGGTCTTTTTATTCCTTTTCATCTAGGAATAAAAAGTTTGGCAGATACTACTATATATTCCACTTATTTTGTCTTCAGCATATCTTACAAGCTACTAAATTACTCTCTATATAATATGTCTCATGAATCCTTTCCATATTCACATGGCAGTTTATTTACTTACCATCTATACATAATATTTTATTTCATCCTGGTTTGTTTTCCTGTTTTCTGTAGTAGAATTGCATTTTCTCAAATAACATAGAAAACTCATATTAGTGATATGAAGGCAAAAAGGAAGAGGATTGATATAAACTATAACTTAATATTTATCAAGTTCCAAACACTGTTAAAAGGCACATTGTGTCTGCTAGCTCAGTTCTGTCTTGCCAGTAGGGACATAGGGGTATTCCCATTGTAGGGATGAAGCTTAATGATCAGAGAAGGTAGGTAATTTGTTCAATGTCATGCAGCTATGCTGTTGTGGAACCTGGATGAGATCCAAATCTCTCTGCATCATAGTCTCAACAAGCTGCTGCTTGAAACACTACTTACTGGAGAGGAATTTGTGTGTGTCTGTGTTTTGTTTTTGTTTTGCCTAGAATAGCAAACAGTGATTAAGTAAGGGTAAAAACATCTCAGAATAATACAATGTTTCTCTAGGTCCTTCAAAGAACATTTAATGTATAAATGTTTTATTGTATCCCATGAAAAGTAAAATAAACAATTCTCTTTCTCACTCTCTTCATAATGTTATTGTATAATTACATATATTTGGTTAGATTTATTTCTAGATATTTAGATTTTCTGATTACTCTTGTAAGTAGTGCTCCTTGAAAAAATTATATAAATATATAAGACAGATATATTTATTGTAAAAATAAATATGTATAGACATATATATATAACAGCTCTTGGTTTCTGGCATATCCATGATGTTTTTAATGAGAAATTTAAAATATCACTCTCTAATACCCTTTGCCATCTTCTAAGAATTTCTCCTGTAAAATATATTTTGAATTTGAACTCTCCTAATTAGATGTCAAAAGTTTATTCAACGGGTATTTACTACTGAATGTTATATTAAATATTATAAGATGATTACATACATTTAAATTAGAGAACAATTTATTAACTTAGATCTTTTAAGTTAAGACAATATTTAATCAAATGTTTCCCCCATGATTATAATTAACACCATCAAATGCAATAGCAGTTGACAACTGTATGCTGGAATTACAACATTAGCTATCATTTACTATGATGCTCTTCACAATGAAACGTATAACCAGTACTAAATTATTTGACACATTGTTTTCATTATTCTATCAACGTCATATGAAATCTCAACAAAATATATATTTGAATATGCTTAAATTCCAAGGACAAGTAAAATATTGGAAGAGCAATAAAATTTGATTTTATTATACTGGGAATGGAAAATAGGTCAATAAACATTTTTTGCTTCCTTATAAAAAATTACCAATTTATTGCTAGTTATTCTTACTGTTTCCTTTCAACATAGCCTTGCTAGGGAAAGGCAGTGAACTTAACTGCCTGTTATTGGCTCTGGAAATACATAACTTAGTCATTGGGTTGCAGAATGATCCATGTTTTTCCCAAGGCATAACCTATATAACTTGGGAGTGAATGTGTCAGTTTTGGAAGCTCTTTTAACTCATTTAGAAGCCTAGAAATTATGAGTGCACAGTTGCAGAATTTATTAATTGACAATTACATGCTTGAAAAATCAAGCTCAATTATTAGTTTGAAAAACATTTTGAAGCAAGTATATACCTATAATTTAGTGAAAAGTATTTCAGCACCTTTCAAATTTCTCATGTATTTTCTATTATATATAGGCTGACATATCTATAGCTAAACTAAGTTATTAATAACATATAATATAAAATTGATTCTAACACTTCATTTGTATGCAGTTATTTCGGAGGTAGAATAGATTCGAATACCTTAAGTGTACTTTATATTGAGTTTGATTATTTTTATATGCATGGAAGACTCTTGCAGACTTAAATCTATTTTATAACATAATGGTTTAAGGAAAATGAGAATAACACTTGATTAATTGAATGTTCAGCCTAATGATGAAGGGTATTTATAATTTTATAATATCGAGAACACTTCAAATTGTTCATGGTGACCAGAAAGCCTATTCTGTGAAATAATTTAAGTATCCAGGCAATAATATGTTGCCTCCACTTCACAATTATTCAGAGAGAAAGCAAGGAATTTGATAGAATATGTAATCTTATGAATATGTGCCCAGGTCCTACTTTCATAAAGGATTTCTAGCTTCTACAGAATCACAAAGCAGAAATCATTGAAAATTATTTTTTACAACTTCATATGTTCAGTAGTTCTCCTACCTCTTATTTATGAGATAATTAAATCATGTATACTTAAATCATTTTCATAGTTTCAAGTGAATTTCAAAAAAATAAAATGAAACACTTGTGCTTTTGACAAGTGATTGAAAAAGACTCCAATTGCGAAACGTAATTGCATTTGCTGGTTTAACCAAAAGCTATCATGTGTCAGACTGGGTTTTGACATGGTTCAATTATACATGTAAATGAGATATTATAAATGCAACTATTAATATTTGATATTCACATTGCAACAGATGAAACTGGCTTTTGTAAATAAAATAAAAATGTTTTTTTGTGTGTTGGATTCACCCAGAAAACATGGAATCCAATGCATCCTTTATCTTTCAGTCTCCTTCTCTACATTTCCCATGTTTCAGACATCTTCACCATCCCATTATTTACTGTGGAGGCCTTTTACAAGTAAATATACAACCATGTTGGTTATTAGAATTTAATAACTACTGTTTTTACATATTCATATCCTCTTCACAATCTATTGATTACGGACAAACACTATTCCCTTCCTTCTTCAAGGCTTGGTTAGCCTGCTATGATTTAATGTACTCTTAGAAGTCAAAATCTTCTGATTTCAAGATTATTTTCTGTGCTATACGTTTCACCAATCTATATTGGCACTGAAAGACAAGTATATGATTCATCCTCAAAGTGTCTCAACTTAAAGGTCTACTTTGATTGGAAGAAGGGCCAAGGTATTAACCAAAAACAAAAAACAGCAATTTAAATGAATTCATTAGTATAACAATATGTTATTATATTAAACATTAATTGAGGAAGAATTGAATCTGATAAGAAATAAAATAAAAAGCTAAGAGCAAAACATTATTAGTGGAGAAATAGATCTTTCCTCTCTCTCCTCACTTTCCGTGTGTGTGTGTGTGTGTGTGTGTGTGTGTGTGTGTGTGTGTGTGAGATGTAACTACTTGATCTGCTTTCATAGTCTATTAAAACATAATTTACATAAAATTGTCATTGACATCATCTCCCCAATATTTACAACATATAAAACTTCAATTATTACTTATTTTTTTCAACCATCATTGTTTAGAAGGAATCAAAGGAATTGTTAGAGGAGGAAATACACAGATTCTATAGTCTACGAAAGAAACTCCAAGTTTCACCTTTTCTTTCACAGTTGTTGTGATAATTTGCCCTACCAGTTTTCCAAACGATATTAAACTGAGAGAAATTGCTTTCGATGAATGAGATATCACCTTAATTTCCCTAGGTTACACTGTGTGTTTTTTTAAGCCAAGCCACCTGAACTTCACATTTCCCCAACATAATATCTGATCAGCCGCTATGTTATTCTTATGCTTCTCAGAAGAATGTAACTTCATGCAAGAAATCTCTTGTCAAATCTTTTCTTTGAAAATAAAAATGAGTCTAGGTTTTCAAAACTATGTTTCCATTTTTTCCCGTTTATTAAAACCAAGTAAATTAGAAAGATGTTTTAAGGGGGAAGAAAATATTATCTTGCTGCCAAAGAAGTCATGATAAATGGCTTTCAAGTGATTAAATAACTTACCCTCTGAAACTTGAGGAAGGAAGTTATAAACAGATATGAATACATATCCTATGTGTACTCATACCATATATAGTGGCGGAGGGAGTGTGAGTAAGACATTACTTCACAATATTAGTGTGTGGATTAAGGAGTAGATAAGCACATTTTTTGAAAATGAAGAAGGCAATGGAACTTGATGAGACTGTGCATAATATTGATATTTCAATGAATATTATTAATATAATCCACTTAAAATTTCAAAGAATAGTAAACTTACATCTAATTCTGATATATTAACATATTTATAAAGTTTTAAATATTTTACCATAAAAAGTAAAATCATAGAAATGTAATACTACATATAAGGGTGTATATATATATGGATACAATGTATATATTATGTATACACACACATACATATAATGGCCCCCCAATGTAGAAATAATGATGGAAAAATAAATTCCACAATACAAAAATTTAAAACACTATATAGTTTCAAACTTTTTAAACACTATAAAGGCACCTGATATACTATACAAAACATTCTACAAATGAATGTAGAAAAGTGTCTGGAAATTTATGAACCAAATTATTAAAAGTGATTACTCCAAGTGGAGGCATTATAAATAAACTTTCTCTATTTTAAAAAATAATTTAAAAATAAAGTTACATTTACATAAATCTAATTACATTATTAATGTATTTAATTAAATACATAAATAGTACTCATAAACCTGGATATGAAGGTGAACAGACAAGCAATTTGTTACGTGTATCTTGCCTTCAAGAACTTGATAAACAGAGGTGCAAACAAGGCTGATCTTTAAGCATTTCCCTAAGTGTATAGGTCTAGAAAACAATCTGAAAGTCCCTTTTGCTAAAGTTTTATTCATATTAATGAAAGTGTGATTAAAACATAATTATGCATTATTTAACAATGGGGACACATTCTGAGAAATGTGTTGTTAGGCAATGTCATTGTGTGACCATCCTAGAGTGTATTCACACAAACCTAGATGAGATAGCCTACTACACATCTAGGTCATATGGCATAGCCTAGTGCTCCTAGGCTGCAAGTCTGAAGAGCATGTTACCGTCCTGATAAGGTGGACAATTGTAACACAATGGTGTTTGTGTATCTAAACACATTTAAACATAGAAAAGGTACAGTAAAAATATGATATGATAATTTTATGGGGCCACCAACATATAAGGAGTTCGTCATTGACCAAAAAGTCATTATACAATGCATGACTATAAAAATTAAAGAGCATTACAGTTTCTCTCAGATTTTGAGTCCGAATGTAGATCTAAGGTTATTAATATGCACAGAAATGTTCATTTATAACATTGCTCATGCTCTTTGCACAAAAAAAAAGCCACCAATAGTTTTTTTTATGAAGAGTGAGCCTTGGTTAAAAATAAAAGCTCTTTTCATAAGGAGAAAAAGTCAACCAACCTAGAAGTATTTTTGCATCAAATTTTTCTTTTCAAAATCAAAAGAGAAAATTATCATTTCATCCTACTAAATAAAGATCATGTATAGAATATGATGAAATATTTTCCAGTTGTGTTTGAGAACATACACATATTTGAAAACTTATGTTCTAAACAAGAATAGGTGCTGAATAGACTTTCATTTAGTTTTGTTCACTTAAAATATGTTTTCAACTCAATACATTCTTTTTTATTATTTTCATTTTATGAATTAATGAAATAGCCCATCAAAATTTATTTAGTCCACTGCCATCTGTTGGACTTTTGCCTCCCACCGATTCCTATTTAACGTTACCATTAAAATAAAAATCTTTGCACACAGTTTCACAGGAAAAATTCCAAAAAGTGGAATTATTGGCTAAAGGAGAACATAATATTAAGAGTTTTCACACTAGCAACTTTTAGCACTTTTTAAAAAGCAGAAATGAGCACATATCATTGTGGATTGGAATAGATTGTTTATATTTAGATCAAAAACAAGATCCTCTCAGCTTGTTTCTACTCAGAAAATTACAAGATTGAGAAGCTGAATAATGATCAGTGTTATAAAGGACAAGAAGGTGATCATTTGATGAATGCAAGCAAAGAAGCAATTCTAGTCATGGAAGTAAATTGTAGAGCCACATCACAACAGAACAAATTTAATGGAAAAACACAGAAGAAACTATTGTATGTGATGAAGGAGAAAATAGTTATGCAAAGTTATTTGTGACTGATATGAGTGACAGAAAATCTCCAGAAAGATGAAAAATGATCAAGGTGAATAAAGTTCAACAGAAAGAAAATTAACCTGGAATTAAAAATTAGTTTTTTAAAATTCTAGACCTATAATTATTTATTATTATATCAAACTTTTAATTATTGTCAGTTTTTGGCCATGCAGAACTGCTTTAGATACAGGTTGCATTTTCATAATTTTACTGGGACTTTATTTATGGGACTAAGACAAAAATGAATCATTGATTACCACGAAGTTTTCCATTTGCAAAATTTTGTATTTTTCTTGAAAATTTGAAGCCACTGTAAGTCCTGATTATAAAAGAGAACTCTTTTTTTGGGAACTTTTACTTAGTTTTGAGTCCAAATACGTGCTCCTGGAAAAAGAAGGCTTGAATTATCTTCCTTTTAGTCACAAACCCTTTATCTAATATGTTGCTGTTGTCCAGGACTCATTAATTCTATTGTTCCCTTTGTTGTTAGTGCTCATTTCTTTGCTCATTTGAAATTAGAACAGGTTAGAAAGGTTGAAAACTTTTTTTTGAAATGTGTATCCTGAAAATGAACAGCGTATAAGATAAAGCTGAAAGCCTGAGCATTTGATGTATTACATCTCAGTAGTATCTGACAACCCTTACTCCCTGGCGATGCGATTTTTTTCTAATAATTTAGTCTCAGTCTATTAAAAGACGATTACAGATAATGCACACAGGCAAGTGGTGAAGGATGCCCAGAACAGCTTTTGTAGAGAGGTTATCAAAACACCATTCACCAAAAGGATTTTTGCATTGATTTTTAAAAAAATTATTTCAAAAACAGACAGAACTTTAAAAGACTAAATATAACAGAAAGGATTTCCGCTCTGTTACTTTGTATAACACATTTTTTAAAAGCCATAAGGTAAAAGTTTAAGTAGCAATTATTTCCCTTGTTCATTGCAACCAAATTCTTATTTTTTATTACTTTTTTTTTAAATGAATATATTTGAAAACACTGATGTAATTTTATAGTTGTCCTGCTGGTCCTTCACTTTGGATAATCTTATGAATAAGATATGATGCAATGTAAAAGTAAGGGGCACGATCCTAACAATTGCCATCACTGACTGTTTAGACTGTTTTGTCATGACATTCTAAGACAAAATAAAGTCTCTTGAGAAATTGAGTATATTCAGTTGAACTTACTGTTTTATTCACTCATTACGCTCAACTTAGCCCATTGGAAGATTTCAAATACAGTAACCATCACACCAAATGACAGTGATTGTGTATATCATAGGAGAGTTCCTGAAATCCATGTTGATATCTTATTTAATACAGGAACAGGAGTAGGCATGCTGAAAATCAAGAAAATTGGAGATGAGGACTTTGCATTCATCAGTAAATGCAAAGACCCCAAGGTTCGCACCATTCTCCTCCAGGGGAATGGCAAAGAGACTCTCTCTAAAATGGACCACAACATCCAGGATGCTGTGCAAGTTTATTGCAACTTTCTTTTTGACCCGCATTTGGTGCCAGGGGATGGGGCCTCTGAGATGGCTGTGATCCATGTCTTGACAGAAAAATCCAAGGTCATGACTGGTATGAACAATGGCCATACAGGGCTGTTACCCGGGTTGTAGAGGTCATCTCTCTTACCCTAATCCAGAACCGTGGGGCCATTAACATCCATCTGCTTATTATTATAATACCTCCCTTCAGACCAAGCACACCTAGAAGAACCATGAGACCTGGGGTGTAAGTGGTGAGACAAGTATTTTGGTGGAGATGAAGGAACTGGGCATATAGGAGCCATTGGCTGTGAAGCTGCAGACATCAAGGGCAGCAATGGAGACTGTAGTTCTGCTCTTATGGATTGATGTCATTACTACAGGCCACAAAAGGAAGGGCAAGGAGCAGGGCCAGCAAGGCAAGACTACTGGTGCTAGCAAAGAGTGAGTGGTGGGCAAGTTGATTTCAACATACAGAACCAGCAGAGTCTCCCCCTTTCCTGAGCCAAAGTACCAGGGACACTGTACATGTCTTTGCAAGGGATTAGACTGAGAGGTAGCACCCAGTCCCTTCCTGTCCAAACTCAGGTTTCAAAAGACACTGACATGTAATACTTCTCTATTGTAAAATTTCCATTTAATTTGCTTCTGATGATTAAATCTAACTCATTTGGGGGAAAAAAGAGGTATAGGTGCTTGATTTCCATGCTTACTGGGAAATTACATAATATGGAATAACCGCATTTAACATGCCCTGATCTATGTGACAATAGGGTCTATTCATTATTACCTCATTTCCCTTGGCTGCCCAGAAAGTACCACCTGAATCATTGGGGATTTTTTAAAAGGTGAATTTTTTTTTTCTAGAATGAGTTTAAAAATACCAGAGGCCTCTCTTCTTGATTTACTATAGATGGAATTGGGATTATATCTCTATTAGAAACAAACTTCTTGGAATAGTTAGAGTACATAATTTTTAAGGGCAATAAACAGAACATATAATGTCATTGCAGGAGAACTCCAAAAGAATCAGACAGTGTGGTCCTCTGCCAGCCATTAAATCTCTCTAAACACCCATTTTTCTCCTTTTTAAAATGAAGAGGTCAGAGAAGGTCTTTAAGGAACACCTTCTGCACTTCTAACAAACAAGAGAGACATCAAACAACCATACTGTCTGTAAGGATAGTGTTCTAGCCCATTCATGCTGCTATAAGAAAGTATCTGAGACTGGGTAATTTAAAAACAGCAAAAATTTATTGCTCATGTTTCTGAAGGTTGGAAAGTTCAAGATCAAGATGGCAGTGGGTTTGGTGTCTGGTGAGGGTACAGTCTCCGCTTCCAAGAAGGTGTCTTCAACTCTGTGTTCCAGATGGCAGAAGGGCAGAAGAGTGATGAAAAGCTGTTTTGATGTCTAAGGTCACTAATGTCATTCATGTGGGCTCTGATCTTATGACTTAATTATCTCTTAAAGGCTTCACCTCTGAATATTATCATATTGCTGATTAAGTTTCAACATGAATTTTTGGGGAACAGATTCAGACTTCTGCTGAAGTAGCAGACAGCAATAAGAAGAATAAAAGGTAGAAGGTACAACAGTGTAATAGAAGTATATTTGACCATATCATCAACCAGCTCTGTTTCTTTGGATTTAAATTTTGCAGAAGGGAAAACCTTTTTATTTTGCTAGGTATTTCTGATGCATGTGTTATTTTTATTTCATGTGGTTTCTATATATCATAAAACTAAATGTTTTAAACCAAATCTGAAAGCTTAAAATGTTATAATTTAATCTTAGTATATGATTTTCGATGATTTTATGAGATTTGATATAATTGGATATAATAATATATGAGACTGATGATACAATTTGACTTAATTTTTCCTTTTTGCAGTCCTGTTCTAATCATTTTTCTTTGATTGATTTTTCTTTTTTTCTGATTTTTTGCCCTCTAATATTTTGATAATATCTCTATTTTCCCTCATGCTATAATGCTGGTTTCACAGAAGATGAGATTACATACTTTTTGAATATTTTCCTTCCCAGGCATGAAGACATGAAGACATTGATTGACCTTGGTGATTTTCATTTTTACCATTGAGGACTGTAGCTGTTTTTTTCTTATTCTTGTTCTTCTTTTGGTAGGGAGCCCATTTGTTTCTGTTATTTTACTATCTGAAAGTTTTTAGGCTCTTCTTTTCTTTAGAAATTCTTGAGTTTCACTGTAATTTGTCTGCGTTAGCCCTTTTCTATCCATCTGTCTCAGCTCTCAGTATACCCTCTCAACCTGGAGACCATTTCTTCCTCTCAGGTTTCTATCCACACTTTCTTTCTTATGCTCTTATTGTTTTTAAAAATTTGGTTCTATGTTTTAGATAAGTCTCTTAGCTAAATATTTCAGTTCAGAAGTCCTCGTTTAGTAATTTGACCAAAGTATTCTGTTTAACTTTTTAAATTAATGAATGTGAGTAGATCTGATGGTTTGATCTTATCTACATGTACTACTAACTCATTTTCTTCTGGTGCTAATTATTGTTGAGTTTGGTGCTCTTGTCAGAATGCTAGAAATATCTCAAACTGACACCCTAACATCACAATTAAAAGAGCTAGAGAAGCAAGAGCAAACCCATCCAAAAGCTTGCCGAAGACAGAAAATAACTAAGATCGGGGCAGAATTGAAGGAGATAGAGACATGAAAAAAACCTCCAAAAAATCAACGAATCTAGGAGCTGTTTCTTTGAAAAGATTAACAAAATAGACTGCTAGCTAGACTAATAAAGAAGAAAGGAGAGAAGAATAGACACAATAAAAAATGATAAAGGGGACATCACCACTGACCCCACAGAAATACAAACTACCATCAGAAAATACTATAAACTCTTCTACAAAAATAAACTAGAAAATCTAGAAGAAATGGATAAATTCCTGGATATATGCACCCTCCCAAGACTAAACCATGAAGAAGTTGAATCCCTGAATAGACCAATAACAAACAAGTTCTGAAATTGGGGCAATAATTAATAGCTTACCAACCAAAAAAGAAAAAAGCCCAGGACAAGAAGGATTCACAGCTGAATTCTACCAGAGGTACAAAGAGGAGTTGGTACCATTCCTTCTGAAACTATCCCAAGCAAATGAAAAGGAGGGTCTCCTCCCTAACTTATTTTATGAAGCAGCATCATCCTGATACCAAAACCTGGCAGAGACACAACAAAAAAGGACAACTTCAGGCCAATATCCCTGATGAACATCGATGTGAAAATCTTCAATAAAATACTGGCAAAACAAATCCAGCAGCACATCCAAAAATGTATCCACCACGATCAAGTCAGCGTCATCCCTGGGATGCAAGGCTGGTTCAACATAAGCAAATCAATAAACGTAATCCATCACATAAACAGAACCAAAGACAAAAACCACATGATTTTCTCAACAGATGTAGAAAAGGCCTTTGATAAAATTCAACATTTCTACATGTTAAAACTCTCAATAAACTACATATTGATGGAACATAACTCAAAATAATAAGGGCTATTTATGACAAACCCACAGCCAATATCACATTGAATGGGCAAAAGCTGTAAGCATTCCCTCTGAAAACTGGTGAAAGACAAGGATGCCCTCTCTCACCACTCCTATTTAGCATTTCTTTTGATTAAATATTTATTGAGCTTCTATTCACACATGGGAAACTTCATGTTCTTGATTGAGAATGAAACTTCTATTCTCAGAAGGGATGCAGAATGTGCTACTGAACCAAGTCTAACAGTCCTTTAACTTTCCTCCATGTAGAATTTATTTATCCCTTTCCTTCAGGCAATCTCCATCTAGAGTACAAGACATAAAACACTGTGTACCACTCTCGCTTCAGGGTCTAAAGAGAGTGAATTAACCCCAGGGACAGTCATCATCAATGCCAATTACCTCATCCAAGCCGAAGCCAGGAAATAAGGACATGCCCAGTTGCTCTCCGGCCCCTTAAGAGATCACTGAAAGACGCTCTCCTGTTTTGCCCCTACTGACTCCATACTTGGCACACCTCCAGAATTGTTCCACTTCCACCCTAGACGGGTTATATATTTTGCATGGTGTTTTCACCCCACCAATTAGAGTTGTCTTTCCTTTTTTCAAGAATTCAAAATTTATGATCCGTTCATGGGATTCTTTTGCTCTTTAGCCTTGTAAATTTAGAAATATTCCATGAAAATATATTTGCTATTATTTTAAAGACTTTATGAGCAGAAAAGAGGCAGTTCCAAATTCTGTCCTCTGGGACAGAACTGGGATGTGCATTAACTTTCTCACTCAATTTTGATCCACCACAGTATAGTTTCTTCTACGTCTTTCCACATTGTCCCCAAATGGCTGCCTCACTCATCATCAATGGTCATCACCAAGCTCCACACCCTATGAGCCTTGGTGTGTTTGTGTGGGATGAAAATGAAGTTTACATTTGAAATAATGACAGAGCAAAAGGGATTTCAGAAAGTAGCAATATCTTCTAGTTTGTTGCATCAATAACAATTGCTTTGGATTTTTTTTTCTTTACTACATTTTATTTATAATGTTGGATAAGTATAAAACACTACATATAACATACATGTGAATCATTAAACATGATAATATAATGTATACCCATAAAACCAATATGTAGCCCAAGGAGTAAAACTTTAACAGTACCCTAGATTGGTATGCTTTTTCCCACTTCCAATTTTGTTTATAAATTTGTCGTATCTACTTTTAAACTTATTCACTTATGTATGTAACTCTAAACATCAAATATTTAACCTATGCTTATTTTTGAGCTTTAAAATGTATTATACTGCAATTTGTCTTCTGCATCTGGCTTTTATCACATTATGCCACGTGTCTAAGATTTATTCATGATACTACATACAGTTCATATTTGCTTATGTTCCATATTCTATTTCATAAATATGCAACTGTTAATTTTCCTGTATAAAGGGTACTCAGTTATTATTGGGTATCTATCTTAATGCCCTGTACTACTTTGAGCATTCTTATATACATGCCCTGGTGCATATAAGCAACAGATTCTCAAGGATATATCATAAGAGAGGAATTGTTAGATGTTGGAGTACATTAACTGTAACAGGGGATATCAGTATAAGAGATAAGAGAACACAAAAGTTCAAAGATTAAAGAGGTGTTTTTTTCTTAAGGATTATTGAGAGCACATATTTAGTGGGCAAATGGATCTGATTCATGTGGTGATTCAAGAATCCAGCCTTCTTCTGTTGTGTGGCTCTTCCAACTACTAATGTCTTACTGTGATCTACATGCATTTTCAGAAGGAGAAAGTCTGTGTAGAGATACGCTTTTGCTTCAAAAGCCACAACCAGATTAGCACACATCACTTATAGTCACATTACCTTGTCTAGGTGCAAATACATTGTCAAAATTAAGCATTAAGCTCAAGGGAGGCTTGGAAAGGCAGTCTATCTGCATGTTCATGAAAAAGAGGATGGATTTTGTGGTCAGCCATCAGTGTTTGCCACCCTCTGCCCCTGGCCATCAAATGACTGTCTGCATTTTTCCCAATTTTGGAGTATACTCCCTTCCTCTGTGAAGAAGCTGATGTCTAATACAGACATTGTATTCAGCTCAAATTTACAACCTCTGGGTGGGGTTCAGCCTTCTACATCAGGTCTGCAAGTGAATCTCTACGGTCCAGAAACCTAATGAATGAAATATCAGATTCTACCAATGTAAATGGTGACAAAGAACAAGATAGCAATGACAGCAACAAAGTATTTCGATTAGTAAAGGGAAAATAGGAATTACTCAGTAGAAATTGAAGCATAACAATAATGCAATACTGTTGGACAGGAATGGGAAGACATTCTTCCCTGTTAATGGAGAAAATACTTTGAACAGTGGAAATATATAATCTCTTGCTTTTTTTGGCTTTGACTTTGCCTTCTGAAATGTTCTTCCTTGGTCATAATCCTCTATCACCACTGTGAACATAGGAAAGTATGCCCTTCTTGGAGAATGAGAATCTTTTGCAGCCTAATGTATGTGTGACCATCTGATGAGTTCTTCCTACCCACAGTACAAACAACATCAAATCATGGGAACAGTGGCATTGCAGTAAAAAAAGAGTTTAATTCATGCAAGTCTGGTTACGCCTTGAGGGAGATGCAATTATTACTGAAATCAATCTCTCTGAGCATTTGGGGGCTAGGATTTTTCAAAAGTAGTTTGGGTGAAGGGTTGGGGGTGGCTAGGCAATGGGTGCTCACTGTTGACTTGCTGAGGGTGAAATCATAGGGGTGTGGGAAATGGTCCTCCTTCATGCTGAGACACTTCCGGGTGAGGCCATAGGAGCCATAGGTGGGTCCTGTGCCACTAACCTTTGCCACCCTCTGCCCCGGCCATCAAAGGACCATCTGCATTTTTCCCACCTTTAAAGGATACTCCCTTCCTCTGTGATGCCACTCTGTATGCCAAAAGGAAAAGTCAAGCTTGAGAATCGAGTCACACAAAACCACTTCCCATTTTGTTCCTAAATAGATAGCTACAAAGATAAGAGTTTACATACCCCCCTCACAATTTGCTCACCAGGGAATTCCCTGTGGGCCACAGATGGGTCCAGGTGGAGCCATCAGTCATCAGAAATGGAAAATTGCTGAAAAGGTGTCTCCAAATGCCAATCTTAGGTTCTACAATAGTTATGTTGTCTGCAGGAGCAATTGGAGAAACTGCATATCTTGTGACCTCTGGAATAACGGCTGGAATTACATCTAACCTCTGGAATTAAGTTGACACCTTAGTAGAATTCAGGCTCCTCTATCCCCATAGCCTCGTGATTTTTCATGAGCTTTACAAAGGCATCTGAGTCTGGGAGAAGGGCTTTTATCATTTAAACTATAAAATAAATGTCTCTGAAAGTTATCTTGGCCTAAGCCCAAGAACAACTAAGGGCAGCTTGAAGACCAAAGGCAGAATGGGGGTTGGTCAGATCAGATCTCCCCCACTGCTATAATTTTCTCACTGTTACAATTTTTGCAAAGGTGGTTTCACACATTTGGGGTCTGAAGAGTCATAATAATTGTTGATTAATCGCAGACTTTTCAGGCCAAACTTGAGGTTTGATCAGTAATATAATTCTCTCAAACATACAGATTCCTGGAAAATTTCATTATAGTCACATATGTGGGTTAATAATCATATCAAAATATTTTCTGGATATTGTACTTATTCCTGCTGTATTTATTTACTTTTTTTCAGTGCTCTCTCTCTCTCATCTCTCTGTCTCACTCTCTCTCTCTCTCACACACACACACACACACACACACACACACACACACGATGGTGTATCTCTTGAGGCTATCTGAAACACTTGCCCTAGTAGGAAATGTACTTGCAGACCGCTTCCCAACCTTTAATGTCTTGAATTTATAAATTCTTTCTATCACCTGTAAAACATCCAGTTTTTCCAGAGCTCATCTCTATGTTTGTAGTACTTTGCTGTAAGCCTTAAGAAACACCACTGATACATATTGACATTCTGGATCTATACAAATGTTTCCCCTAGAATTGCAAGCTTAGTAGGCACATGGCTTGATTTTCAAGTTTTCAAAGGTGACAGTTTGGCAAGTATTTTCTCTGACACAAGAAAGGTATATAGCAATACAACCTGCAATACCTGCCATATCTATGTACTTGCTGTAAGCTGCCTAACTATTAAGACTTTTCAGGATATTTTGAGTTATATAGCAAGCCATTTTCTACAGCAACTGTTATATTGGTTACAACAGATTAAACTTATAAATAACCCACAGGTTGATTCAAGTTGGAATAGCAGGGACTCGATTTATACTCTCATGTGACCTAATAACAAAAAGACAAAAATATATGAAACACTGGCATTGAAGACACTGGTCATTCAACAACAACAAAAAACAGGGATTCCTGAGGTACACAAAATAATGTCATAACACCTATGCATGCCCATCTTATTTGCTGGAGGGGCTGTCCAGATCATGGCTTATGGAGAGGAAACCCAGGCAGAACTTGGTGGAGGTAAAATCAGGAATCTGAAGAAGCCAAATTCTCTATTATACACTCGGTAGAACACTGGAGAGAAAAAACCCACACAGAAAGAGAACTCCTTAGATGTGCAGACTCCCCTTCAGGGATTCAATTAAGTACTTGTGAAAAAAAAAAAAATCTCAGGACCCCAAACTCACTATGCGGAAGAGAAAAGTCAAGCTTAAGAACGGAGTCACAGAAAACCACTTCCCATTTTGTTCCTAAATAGATAGCTAAAGACACAAGTTTACATACCTCCCTCACAATTTGTGCACTAGGAAATTCCCTGTGGTCCCCAAGACATTTACCCTAAAACAATTCTGTTGAATTTCATCCTGACAATGTAAATTAACAGCTTATCTTCACAGGTATAGGACAAAGGACAGAATTCAAAATCATCCCTCTGCTCACCTGACACAACTACATATTTGTCTGCTTTCTCTAATCTGTGTTTAGCTTACGTAAAAATGCAGATTCACTGAGCATGAGAGGCATGCATAATTGACTGACCCCCTCCTTTCAAATGTAAAATGTCGATTCAGAAAACGCTGATCAAAGACTCAAAAGAATGCAGCTATGCAACCTCTTGCCCCTTTTATCTATCTTCCCTCTCCTTTTTTTCTTCTTTCCCTTTCCTCTTTCCCCGACTGCCCACCCTTTCCCCTTTAAATAGAGAAGACCCCAGGCTGCCTTTGGAAAAGCTTAGATCACACACGTTCCTGTGGTTTTGTGTTCCTTTTTCCCAGTTTAAAAGGAAAACTTCAGACAATTTAAATTTAACGGAGTTTAATTACACAAGGAAAAAAAAATTCATGAATTGGGCAGCACCCAGGATCACATCAGATTCAGATGGACTCCAGGGATGCCTCATGGTCAGAAAAAAATTATAAACAAATAAAGGAAAGTGGTGTACAGAAATCGGAAGTGAGGTACAGAAACAGCTGGATTGGTTACAGCTTGGCATTTGCCTCATTTGAACACAGTTTGAACACTCAGCAGTGTATAGGTGGCTGAAGTATGGCTGCTGGGATTGGCTAGGACTCAGCTATTGTTATGTGCACGTACTCTTGTTAGGTTTTCACTCTAGTCTACCTATTATGTTAGGTTACGGTTTGTCCAAAAGGACTGAACTATAAAATTACAGAGTCATTCTCTGGCCATATTTGGTCCTCTTTAATACCAGGCAGGTCCTCGACTTTGGGAAAATTAAACTCTAAAATTCCTGAGACTTACCTCAGTCATTTTCTTTGATTTACATTGTGTTGTATCAAAAGATGCATTTGAGGAAGGAATTTGAGGCTGAGGAAGAAACCTATTCAAAATGTAACCAGTGGGTTCTCTTTGTCCACTGCCTAGACAGAGCCAATTTATCAAGACAGGGAAATTGCAATAGAGAAAGAGTAATTCATGCAGAGTCAACTGTATGGGAGATAGAGTTTTATTATTACCCCAATCAGTCTCCCCGAGAATTCAGGGATTTTTTTTTCTTAAGATAATTTGGTGGATAGGGGCCAGTGAGTCAGGAGTGTTGATTGGTTGGGTCAGAGATGAAATCATAGAAAGTTGAAGCTGTCCTTTTGCACTGAGTTGTTTCCTTGGTTGGGGCCACAAAACCAGATGAGCCAGTTATCTATCTGGGTGGTGCAAGCTGATGCATCAAGTACAGGTTCTGCAAAATACCTCAAGCACTCGTAGTCAGTTTTATAATAGAGAAGTTATTCCCAGGAGCAATTTGAGGAGGTTCAGAATCTTAAAGCCTCTAGCTGTATGACTCTTAAACCATAAATTCTAATTTTGTAGCTAATTTATTTGTCCTGCAAAGACAGTATAGTCCCCAGATAGGAAGAAGGTTTGTTTTGGGAAAGGGCTGTTATCCCATCTTTGTTTCAAAGTTAAACTATAAACTAAGTTCCTCCTAAAGTTAGTTTGGTCTATACCCAGGAACGAACAAGAACAGCTTGGAGGTTAGAAGCAATATGGATTTGGTTGGGTCAGAACTCTCACTGCAATAATTTTCTTAATTATGATTTTTGCAAGGGTGGTTTCAAAAAGATTAAAGAGAATGGCGCTCACAGATCACATAGGGTCAGGGATAATGCTCATTTCAAGGCAGAGTAGAAAGCCTTGTAATTAATGGGGAATCAGATAGAGTATTAGGAAGGGTCTTACCTTTAATAAAAATTAAAATTTAGCCCTAGAGTAAATACAGTGCAGATCTTCCCTAACAAAGCTTACAAGCAAGACATGAAAGTAGCAAACTATATTCAAGTAATTTAATTATGTCTCACAGAAAAGCTCAAACATATTTTTAGGAAAACAAAAATATTCAGCACCATCACATGTTGTGGGAGGGACCCAGTGGGAAGTAACTGAATCATGGAGGTGATTACCTCCATGCTGTTCTCATGATTGTGAATGAATTCTCACAAGATCTGATGGTTTTATAAGGGAGTTTTCCTCTTTTGCTTGGCACTTCTCCTTCCTGCTGTCATGTGAAGAAGGACGTGTTTGCTTCCCGTTCCGCCATGATTCCTGAGACCTCCCGAGCCATGTGGAACTGTAAGTCAATTAAATCTCTTTCCTTTATAAATTACCCAGTCTCAGGCAGATCTTTCTAGCAGCCTAAGAATGCACTACTATAACAACCAAGACAAGATACCAGTGATCATGGTCTTTTTCTACACAGTAGTAATTTTCATATACATTATATGTTCTATTATTTCGTTTTAGTTTCCTATGTTTGCAGAAAAAGTAAGGGCATAATAACAATGGTGTTCTGATTATTCTATTCATGAAGTTAACATTGCTGGAAAACTAAAAAAAATCTAGATAGAGGCAAATATCTTCAATATTATACCACATTAACTTCCACTGAAGAAAAGTTTTCAGGAAATCATAGTGAAACTAAATATTATTAAGGTTTAGAAGGATATTAAATAAATAAAAGATTGGCTTCCTGGACAATGGGACAGTCTACATTATATCATTTGCTATTTAAGTTCTAAATAAATTAAAAACTCTTTTCTCCATAATATCATGAGTAATGTAATGTGCATGCTAAAAAACACCGTTTAAAACTAACACATACCATATGGTTAATGCTCTGTGGAAATTTCTTTTTCTTACTATTAAATTTTATTATCCTGTATATTTAATTCCAGGACAAAATCTTATTTATTTGGTTTTTCTTATTTTTGCTACTACCATAACAACACATAATTCAATGACCCAAAGCTATCTTCCTCTTTTCCTTTTCTTTAATATTGTAATCTACATATGTGTCCCTGTTTAGGTATTGATATCATCTATCACAAAGGCTATTTTCTGCAGGTGTACATGTTCCTTTGATGACCTTAGTTTATTGTTACCAAAATTTATTAAATGTGATTCCTTGTCTACATAAACATTTTTTTTTTTCATTTAATAGTGAGGATTACAATGCAAGGACACTTTCACCTATTCCTGGGGGTGTTCATGAACAAATATAAAGCAGTGCTATGTGAAATGAATAAATATTGGGGGTGGAGTAAAGGAAATAGAACAGATTTCTGAAAGTACAACACATTTAAAAGAAATTTAATTTCTATAAATTTGTACCTTATTGCAGGCCTGGTTATAGAAAATCTATTCTTGAAAGCCCATTTCGTTTTATAAAATATTTTCCTTACCATACTTTAAAACTGAAACCATATAGTAATTTACAGAAGGGAGTGATGGGGGGCACGGTATTTAATACTAAGTTTAGGAAGAAAATATATCTTTTTTCTTCTTCTTTCTTTCTTTCTTTCTTTTTTTTTTTTTTGAGACAGGGTCTCACAATGGCATGATCTCGGCTCACTGCAGCTTCCCTCAGGATCCCAGATTTAAGCATTTCTCCCATCGCAGCCTCCCAAGTAGCTGGGACTAGTACAATCACGTGCCACCATGCCCCGCTATTTTTTTTTTTTTTTTTTTTGTATTTTTTGGTAGAGACAGGCTTTCACCATGTTCGTCAGGCTGGTCTTGAACTCCTGACCTCAAGTGATGTGCCCACCTCGGCCTCCCAAAGTGCTAGGATTACAGGCATGAGCTACTGCACTTGGCCTAGGAAGAGGAGATATCTATGTTGTTTCCTAAAAAGCCAAAAAACATGTAGAAAAAGATATATAGGAATATGCATTAAAATACAAGTATTCAAAAATATATAGAAATATGTAGAGGATTGCTTTCATCATAACACATACAATATCTGAGACACATTTAGGTTGATACCCAATAATTGTATTAAAGGTCAAGTGATAAAACTGTAAAGGGAATGATTTTTACTCAGTTAAAACACGTGAATATTTGTGCTATCACTTGATTAGTTCTCTGGTTCATTTTACTGTTAACTCATTAAACAACACCCACTATATTGTTTATTCAACTGTAATTTAATAAGCCATTGAGACTCATCCTTGAGAATTGGAGGAGAGGAAGGGGATCAGTAAAGAAACATCCATCACTGCTGTTCACAGAGTTCTTGCTAATGTGGCCAACAAACCATGTGTGAATGAAGGTCAATGACAATTGAGGGAAGACTTGGAAATAACTAGGGCAGGTCCAAGACATAACGAAGTGCGCCGTCTGGCCCTCTGTGCAAATGCATAGAAGAAAGTTGAAATTTTGTGTTTCCTTCTCATCAACATAATTCTGCCATGATTCCACATTCCTCTGGCTAAATTACCTTCTTTGTGGAATGTGGTAGTCTTCTCCTTCCTGCCTGCTGCTAGACCACAATAGAATTTGAAAAACGGACTGTGGATGCATTGTAGTTGGATAAAAAGTAAGAGAGGTGTTCATGTCTATGTATTGCCTTTCATAAAAGTTACTTTACATGGTTCTTGGAAGTTTCCCTTTGGCTCATGTCTTCGTTTAGTTGACTTTCTGAATTCTTAATTGCTTTATCTATTTATTCTTAATATATAGAACTAAATGAAAAAAGAAATTAAAACAAAAATCAAGAATAAAATTAATGATATTAAAAGCCTAATTGAAAGCGTTTGAAGTAATAATTAGGATAATGAGGAAAATCACTTTTCCGTTTTGCAATGTATTTTATTGCTATGTAATTTGTCTTAAATCATCCTGATTTGTATTGAACCATAATTTTTTTTTTTTCTTGAGATGGAGTCTTATTCTGTCGCCCAGGTTAGAGTGCAGTGGTGCAATCTCGGCTCACTGCAGCCTCCGCCTCCCTGGTTCAAGTGATTCTTCTGCCTTAGTCTCCCGAGTAGCTGGGATTACAGGCACCTGCCACTGCACCCGGCTAATTTTTGTATTTTTAGTAGAGACAGGGTTTCACCATCTTGGCCAGGCTGGTCTTGAACTCCTGACCTTCTGATCCACCTGCCTCAGCCTCCCAAAGTGCTGGAATTTCAGGCGTGACCCACTGCGCCCAGCCTGAACCATAAAAATTTAAACAAACAAATAAAAGACTACTATGACTAGGAAAATATCTGAGAGAAATGCTAAAGAAAATCTGGCATATAAAAATGCAAAGAATAAAAGAATTTATTTGTTGTAAGGTTGGACACTGTAATCAAAACATGCTCTTATTTCCTGATCAAGTTTTGTAAAATAAATCAGTAAACCCTGCTTTAATCTGTTTTTTCAAATTGACTGGCAAAATATGTATTAACATGGTTAATGAACCATAAAACACATTATTCATTGTTTTATTCAAAGATGCTTCTGCTAAAAATATTGTTATTTATACCTGCAGCTATAACTAAAAGAACAAACATCAAACTGACTTTGCTTTCCAAGTCATACAAATCATATAAAAACAATTCCACAAATGAAAATCAAACCTCTTTGACACGACACTTTTGTTTTATATGAGTATTACATCATCTCACATATTACATCCAGGTTTAGCATTGAGTTGTTCTTAAAATAAAGTTATTTAAACTTAATGTACTTCAGTGCAACTTGTCCCTACTCAGTATTTCATTGTACAGTGAGCTGCTAGTTAATATCTTATCATTTACCCCTGAATTTCAGTATTAATCAGGATTTCTGGGTGTACTTTAGTCAGCATTCCTTGACGTGACATTCTCATATATTCATCACTTTCCAATGTATTTTCTCTTCTAGAAATAGATTTGCATTCCTCACGAAGTTTTCATCTTTGTCTCTGGGCCTTTGTTTATATTTTAGTAACAGATATTATTCTATGGTAACTGTATAGTGGGCCTAGCAGAGTAAATAACATGCATAGGATGACCAACACACATAGGGTGACCAATGGTCCTGTTTTGCCTGGAACTGGACTGTTTTGTAGGACACAGGACTTTCAGCACTAGAAGCACAAAAGGAAAGAAAAAAAAAAATAGTCAGCTTATGAAGATTTGGTCACTTCACATATACTATGTTTTCAGTAAGGTAGAATTCCTTTACTTGTATCTCTTTCAATATTTCTTAATTCAAATGAAAAAAGATATCCCCCTATCCTTGAAGCATTTGGAAGATTTGTGTTCATGAAATTCTCTTCATCTAAATGCCACAGTGTCCTCTCCTATAAATCACTGTATTGGCCCTGAGCCTTTCTACATAGCTGTAAGTGGTTGTTTTGTCTGAGTGCTGTTGCTGAAGGGCTTGTCAACCATGACAGTGAGCAGACACAAAAACACCTCCATGTTTATATTTGAGAATTTTAATGTATAAGGACCTGTAAAATCATACCTACTCATTTTTTGGCTCTGGGGATCAAGTCAGGTAAATGCCGAAAACTCAAAAAGCATTCTACTCAATTTTTATAGTTGGATATTCAGTTTAAGCCTTTTGCTTCGTTTTGATTTTTGCTGTTTTCTCCATCCGGTGACTCAAGGATGTTGTTTAGATGTGTTTGTTCTCCCTTGGCTCATGGAAAGATTACAAAGTTCAAAGACAACTTCAATTGCTACAGATAGGTTTCCGAAGCCATGCTAGAAAGATGGGGCGAGAAAAAGTAGCAAGAGGAAGAAACCATGCCGTAGTTGGGGGCAAGGTCGGCTACATAACTTGTGGACTCCAGTGCAAAATAAAAACGCAGGGCCCCTTGTTCAAAAAAGGAGGAAAAATGCTTCATTCTTCCTTTTGTGATTTCCCTATAAACAGTCATGATGTTTTAAAATTTTATCTTAATGTTGCACTCTCTCAGCACAGGAATACTTATAGGGGAACACAGACCCTGACAAGTGCCAGGGGCCCCACTCTGTAACTAGGCTCATGGGACATGTGCCCAACCCTGAGCTTCTTCACATCCACACCCAGGACCCCTCTGAGGATAGAGGGTGTCAGCAGTCACTGGCAGAGACTGGGAAGCCAGCTGCTGAGAACCAGTCCAGGGAAGGCCAGAAAGCCCCAAAGCAAGACCATGTGTGTGTATCAGTGTTCTAAGGTCCTAGGGCATGCTGTATTCCCCCATCATACATCACTTTACAGTTCAAATTCAAAGGGAAATTTATTAAAATTATTAGGAGAGCAACCAGCGAGCATCAAACAGCAAGTCTCGGAGTGTGGAGCCCTGTCCGATTGCACTGGTCACATAGCCATGGAGCTGCCCCTTGGTGGGGGAAATTCACTATGACTAGAATCCTGGAGAGGAATCTATGAGTCTTGCAGCTGGCAGGACAGTAAAGGGTATTCAAGTCCCACTCCTGGCAATAATCCTCTAAAGGGAAAGAAACTCCAAGGAGATGGACATGGGACATGTCCATCTAGCTAACTAGCCTTTCTGAATCCCAAAACTGTTGAAAAATTATCTTGCTTAAATTTTACTTTAAAGGGCGATGTGATTTTGGACAGAAGAGATATCAGTGACAATGGCAACCTCAACATGAAAGCGTCCTTCCCAAGTTTCGGGCAAATACATGATAATCTCAGATCCTTGTTCAATGGTGTGAGGAAGCACCATTGCAAATGTTAGCAATTTTTATTTCCAGGCATTCCAACAGGACGGTGGATGCAGATTTAATGTGATTTAGTGGAACTAATACAGAGTGATTTTTCTTACACACAAAGTTTGGAAATAATACTCGAAGAAATGGCTGCTTTGTTACAAACTTTGATATATTATTGTTTATATAAGCAACTAGTAATATTATTGATAGTTAACATTTAGTATTTAATCACTATGCTTCGTATGCTGTTCTATTCATTTTATATGCATTATTTTACATAATCCTTATAGCACCATGTAAATGATATAATACTATTAACCTCCTTTTACACATGAGAAAATGAATGCAGACAGCATTTCATGAATTATCTAAAATGATACGTCTAGCAATTGTAGGTTCAGGATTTTACCAAATAAATAGGCTCCAGAACTTGTCATATAAACTATTAATAGGCTTACATTTACAATAAAATGGAAGTCATTACTTCATTTTACCTTCATTTCAATGTTGTTCATTTTTGTACCCAACCAAGAACTGATGGTAGAAATCGAATACAAATGTGTGCTTTTAAAACTTCAAATCTAGTTTTTGAAATTGCTTTTGGTGTTTGGACAATTTGGGAGATACCATAGGATAAAATATTACAGAATTTATTCATATAAGCCTATAATTGTTACTTCAAATGTGAAGTCTGGCTTTCAAGCCCAAACTGACCTGTTTGAAGTGGAAAATAAATATATTTTACAATGGATAACACAATAATACACAATTTGGTTGATCAGAATATGTGTATGCCTGAGTAGTCTTTATATGGCATATGATCTATTTAGCCCTACGAGATTGGAAAAGAAGAAAATGAAAAAAATATTTACACTTAAGAAATAACTTCAGGCCGGGCACAGTGGCTCATGCCTGTAATCCCAGCATTTTGAGAGGCCGAGGCGGGTGGGTAACCTGAAGTCAGGAGTTCAAGACCAGCCTGGCCAACATGGTGAAACCCCATCTCTAGTAAAAAAAAAAAAAAAAAAAAAAAAAAAAAATAGCTGGGCATGGTGATGCATGCCTGTAAACCCAGCTACTCAGGAGACTGAGGCAGGAGAATTGCTTGAACCTGGGATGCAGAGGTTACAGTGAATTGAGATTGCACCACTGCACTCCAGCCTGGGTGACACAGCAAGACCCTGTACCTTGTCTCAGAGGAGACTTTGGACTGTGGACTTTTGAGTTAAAGCTGAAATGAGTTAAGACTTTGGGGGACTGTTGAGAAGGCATGATTGATTTTGAAATGTGAAGACATGAGATTTGGGAGGGGCCAGGGGCAGAATGGTATGGTTTGGCTCTGTGTCCCCACCCAAATCTCATCTTATACTCCCATCATTTCCACGTGTTGTGGGAGGGACCCACTGAGAGATAATTGAATCTTGGAGATGGGTCTTTCCCATGATGTTCTTATGATAGTGAATAAGTCTTGTGAGATTTGATCATTTTAAAAACTGGAGTTTCCCTGTGTAAGCGCTATCTTTTGGCCTGCTGCCATCCATGTAAGATGTGACTTGCTCCTCCTTGCCTTCTGCCATGATTGTGAGGCTTCTCCATCCACATAGAACTGTAGATCGATTAAACCTCTTTCTTTTGTAAATTGCCCAGTATCAGGTATGTCTTTATCAGCAGCAGAGATTGGAACTGAGGGCGATAGCACATTTTTGTGCAACTCTATAATTTTTATTATTTCCTGAAGACAAATATATTTTCCGTTGTCAATGGAAAGATGGTGTGACTTCATTCCTGTGGCTGAAATTCCTTTCTTTTCTTTTGGGGAGGAAATAAGATGATTAGAATCGTGTTCTTCAGTGAACCACTATATGCGAATTTCAATGCCAGTGTTTGGAGATCCCCCATGGATTCTTGCAAAAAACTTAGAGGTAATCTTAACTACATTTAGATCTGAGGGATTTTGCCTCCCGATGGCTTCCCAAAGGCCAATCAGTAACCTAAGAGGTGGCAATGGCATAATAATGTATTCTAAATTATCTGGCAAATTTCACTTTCTGTAGAAGACTGTTTAGTCATTCAGACAAAGACAAATTTAATTATTGCACCAGGAGACTTCTTGGCAAAATTACATTTTCAGAATTTCATTTTAAGCAACTGCAAATCTATAGGTTTATATGTGCCAATCCTTCTCTTTTGTTTTGGATGGTTTGTTTTTGCAACAATATGTTTGCTATGGTCAAAGGATAATTCTCAGACAACTGTGCAAACATG
Source organism: Homo sapiens (assembly GCF_000001405.40). Classification (NCBI taxonomy): domain Eukaryota; kingdom Metazoa; phylum Chordata; class Mammalia; order Primates; family Hominidae; genus Homo; species Homo sapiens. The sequence goes on from NC_000008.11 coordinate 16,294,079, forward strand.
TTTCATGAATTTCAATGTAATGCAAATGAAGCATGAAGCAGAGTTTAGCAAATTGCACAATTAATTCCGTGTAATACCATATATTTAATTCATCAATATAGACAGTTCTGAATAAAGCAATAAGTGAATCTAAATCTTCATTTGATAAAACTATTTGGTCAGTTGTTGCAGGAAGTCAGGGACCCCGAATGGAGGGACTGGCTGAAGCCGTAGCAGAAGAACATAAATTGAGAAGATTTCATGGAAATTTATTAGTTCCCCAAATTAATACTTTTATAATTTCTTACGCCTGTCTTTACTGCAATCTCTGAACATAAATTGTGAAGATTTCCTGGACGTTTATCACTTTCCCAATCCATACTCTTGTGATTTCCTATGCCTGTCTTCAATCTCTTAATCCTGTCATCTTCATAAGCTGAGGATATATGTCACCTCAGGACCCTGTGATGATTGCGTTAACTGCACAAATTGTTTGTAGAGCCTGTGTGTTTGAACAATATGAAATCTGGGCACCTTAAGAACAGGATAACAGCGATTTTCAGGGAACAAGTGAGATAACCTTAAAGTCTGGCTGCCTGTGGGCCAGGCAGGACAGAGCCATATTTCTCTTATTACCGAAAATGGGCCAGAGAAATATCGCTGAATTCTTTCCCCAGTAAGGAATATTAATAACAGCCCTGGGAAAAGAATGCATTCCCAGGGCAGGGCCTCTAAAATGGCCACCGTGGGAGTGTCTGCCTTATGCAGATGTAGATAAGGATGAAACATGCCCTAGTCTCCTGCAGCACCCCCAGGCTTGCTAGGATTAGGAAATTCCAGCCTGGCGAATTCTAGTCAGACCGGTTCTCTGCTCTTGAACCCTGACAATGCGTGCACAGCAGGACATGGAAGTTCATTAGTGATTCTGGTTTCTACCTGACCTTCTGCCTTGTGACCTTTTGTTGCCCTTGAAGCATGTGATCTCTGTGACCCACACCCTGTTCATACACTCCCTCCCCTTTGAAAACTGCTAATAAAAACTTGCTGGTTTTACGGCTCAGGGGGCATCACGGAACCTGCCGACATGTGATATCTCCCCCGGACACCCAGCTTCAAATTTCTGTCTTCTATACTCTTTCCCTTTATTTCTCAGACCGGCCAACACTGAGGGAAAATAGAAAAGGACCCATGTGAAATATTGGGGGCTGAATTTTCCCCGATAGTCAGTTAGATTATCCTTAAACTGAACAAAGTATTTTTTCCCATCCACCTTCATTTATCTGTGATTATGATTAAAATGAATTCTATTTCAAAAAAACTTTAGGAGATTAATCATATATGCCTTTGTCTTTTTAGGTGGGTTTAAATCATACAATGCTGCGTAATAGCTTAATATGGAAATTAAAAATATAATTAAATAAATTATAAAATTCGTTTATTGTTTAGCATCAAACAAATGCAGCATGCCCTTGAATTGGCAGCAGTGGGATTTCTTTTTCCTATTTTTTTTTATTAAATCACCTTTCTCTAAAACTATTTTTGGAAAAATAAAAAATTCAACTCATATTGCCATGTAAGTATAAAAAGTGATTTTTATTCCATTGAATCATATGAAATTATTAAATTTATAATACTTGTCCTTGAATCTTTATGTTATTAGTAGTGGAGAGTTAAAATAAAAAGTCATGTGGACTTAACATGTAAATGTATAAACAGACAAATATTTATACGTGCATATGTGTATACATTTTTTTAATGTTAGGGACTTCTGCACCTATAAATAAATTTATGAATAACATTTTAAAAATTCCAGAGATGATTGGCAAATCCATTGTTAATTATTTAAAATAAATTTTCACATACAAAAAGTGCTCTGAAGCCAGATCTTAAAAGAGAGTTCAAATGCTTACTTAATCCTCACTTAATACATAGTTTAAATGTTACCATCAGATACTGTTATTACTGTTGGACTACAACTTAATTTTCAACCTGCATAGTGAGGAATAGATTTCCATTCAACGCTGGAGGATATAGTAACAAACATGTTGACTTCAGAACTCTGGCAGCAGCAACAAACACACTGTTTCAAGCACTCATGCAATAAGAAATTGAAGAAAAGCAACTCTTGGAGCAACATGACCACCTTCTTGATAAGAGCAATACATTAAATATGCAAGAATTTTGAATTGGAGAACTTATGGGTAGATTGTTCTACAAAGTCAGATGGTAGTAATTGTAAATGCATACCTATGCAAGTATCCATGTATGCATGCAACTATATTATAGAGAGTAAGGCACCAAAAAACACTAACTTGTTTCATTTAAGCATAGAGAAGTAATGGCTATGATTTCATCACTCGATGTCAGAATGATTGTTAAAATTATGGCTACACAGCTTGCTAGTTCTATAAACTTAGGCAAGTTAAGTAAACTCTATACTTCATGAACATCATCTGTAAACTGAGGGTAGGTATAATTCCTACCTAGAGACTGGAGTGAGACATCCTATGTTACATGTCCGAACTAATACCTGACATCGTAGATTCTCAATTGGTGTTAATTACTGTATTTGTTATTTATTGCTGTGTAATGAAGTGTCCCAAAACTTAGTGGCTTAAAACAAGCAATGTTGATTTAGCTTACAATTCTATGAGTTGACAGTTTGGGCTGGCTTTGTCTGAATGGTTTGTCTGCATCTCAGCCAGACCCAGGTATCCAGCTGAAGATTGTGTTCAGAGTTGGCTAGCTGTCTCATAAAATCCAATAGATTAACCTGGGCTTCTTGCCAGAGCAGTTCTGAGTTTCAAGAGAGCAAGAGAGAAAGCTCCAAGACTTCTGGAGGCCTAGTCTCAGAACTGGCATAATGTGTCTGCTGTAACAATAGCTCAAAACATGTCATAAAGCCAGTCCAGATTATAGCAGTGGGGAAAGAGGCTCTATCACCTGATGTAGAGTTGGTTGCCAAGCATTGTGGCCCCTTTTGCAATGTTTTATACCTAGAATTATTATCATTCTCTGTATTTTCATGTAATCTGTAATGCATACATGAATGTTGAAATGATACATTTGTTTTGATTTTATGTATGTTTATGTATAAAATTTAGATGTGAAAACAATAAAGAAATTGTCCATTACATTTAAATGTTATTATATTTAAATGTAATAAACTTACATTTAAATGTTATTATATTTAAATGTAATAAACTTACATTTAAATGTAAGTTTATTACATTTAAATGTAATAAACTTAAAGCATTTTGGAACTTGAACCGAAAGTGGCTTTTGAAATGGATACTTTAATTACATTGTTTTTGGTAAACCAATAAAGAGAAGTCCATTGAAACTGAGTGTCATCTTCATAAGTAAGTAATTGAGTGACTTAGTTGTCCCAGGACTGGAACATCAGATTCCACGTGCATTTGTTCAGTGTTCTTCACACTTGAAGGAAGTCATTATGACTCGGATGTTCAGAATTTCATATTATGTATAAACAGCATATTAATGGAAGACACTACCCATCAGTTGGCAATGGATTATTTGTATATTCTATGAAAACATATTAATTTAGGTATAATAGTTATTTTCTGATGCTTCATCCTAGTCATCCCTGTGTCACCTAATTTACATGGAAACTAAACAAGCATTCATAATTTTTCAAAGGCATATTATGGATCTTTTAGTGAAATTTGTAATAAAAATGTAGAGTGTGATTTAATAGGGAAATAACTGTCGCTTTAGATAAACTGAAAATGAAATCAAAATTACTATACAAGCAACATCAAAATACCTCAGGATGATGGATAAAGATGACATTTACAAGGTTTGGTAATGCAGAATAGTAAAGTTTACAGGAAATTAATCTAATATTGGAGACATATCATTTTTCACAGGAGCTGAATCATAATTCAGCTGTCACCCACTGACAAGGTCAAAATTTACCTCTAGGCACACTCGAATGCTGAAGCTGGAGAACTTTCATCACATCCTAAATCAGTTTCTATATAATTTCATATATAAAATCAAATTCTGTAGAAAGTGTCTGTGCTTAATACATTAAAAAAGCAAACAAGAAAAACCTTGGAAACTTTATGTTCAGCTATCATGGAAAAAAAAGAAAACTTTAGTTTGATACATAATTAATCAGAATTATCAGCAGCTGGGTTTCATCCATATTGCTGCTAATTCTAAGGCAAAACAAAGCCAGCTGTTTCTTTCAGTATATCGACTCCATTACTGTCTCAAGAGCTATTCTGATTAAGGCTAACATGATGTGATCGCTTTCATCACTTCACAGCTGCTCTTCCAGTGTTTAGATTTCAAAATCAGCATATGCTGTATATTCAGAAACCTAAGTAAACGAAATTCACATCTGTGTTATTTAAATGGTTCCAGAACTAACTGGCCTTCACCAACCCACGTGGTAGGTATTTTTCTTTCCGCCATGTTGGTATATACTCTTTAATGAAGTAGATAGATGCATTTTGAGTAGTGATCAGGCTCGTTTCTTAGAGGTTTGTGAAATAATGTAGAGCACCTTATAAAGTGTGTGGCACTTACAAAATTTGAAAATGAGCTCAAGAATTGTTATGTGCTGGGCATGAAAAGATAAATATAGTGAAAAAACAGTATTAGTGCTCACATTTTTTAAATTTGGAAATGGCATTAAATGATGCTGACGCATTCAGAATTTGTTCACTGGGTTTCCTACAACATTCCATTTCTTAAAGCAATCTTATGATTAATTCAAATGAGTAATTACTGTGCTGTTTACTTTAAATATATATTTTTTGTTTTCATCAAGAAAATAACTTCTGGTTAATACCAGTAGGTACAGCTATCTTCCCACCATCATCCCAGATGTACCTTAAGCAGCCGCTCGTTTAGCTACTTGTGCTTCTTTTAATAGCTCATTGTAATCTTATGTTCTCTCTCACAAGTTTTCTATAGCAAACTGAAGAAAAGAAAGGTTGAGCAGGCATCTTACTCCTCAAGAATAATTCTACCACTTATATTTAAGGCACCTTCCATTTGTGCCTGTCTGGGAAACTCTTTCAATCCCTCTTTCTCCACTGGATGCTCAGTCGATTGAAAAGCTCACTTTTATAAAACCTGCTTTTAAATTCATGATAGAATGTCACATCTTCTTCCTTTGATAGCCATTCTCAAATATGAACATACACGAAATGCACATTACCAAACTCTCAGAAATTCATTTTCTGCGTGGAATGTGGAATGAAAACACATTTAAATAAGTACTGCAGAGGACACATCCGTACTTGAAAAATGTTGTTGTAAATTTGTCATTCTTTATGTGTGCTTCTGAAATGTCTATCATATTCTCCTCTGCTACTCATCCATACACGATTCTACATTCTCACCACGAAGTTGCTGGTGGGGATGTAAAATGATACAGCCACTGTGGAAAACAGTTCCTCATGAAATTAAAAACAGAAGGACCATATGATCTGGCAATTCCAATGCCAGGTATAGACCCCAAAGAATTGAAATCAGAGACTCAGAAAGATAGCTATACATCCACATTCATAACAGCATTATTTACAATAGCCAAAAGGTGGAAGCAAATCAAGTTTCATCCGAAGATGAATGATAAACAGATTGTTGTATATGAATACAATGGAATATTAATCGGCATTAAAAATAAATTATGACACATTCTAAAAGCAATGGTAAATATTGTAGACATTACAGTAACTGAGATAAGATATTCACAAAAGGACAGATGCTGTATGATTCCACTTTACAGGAGATACCTAGAGTAGTCAAATCATAGAGACAGAAAGTAGAATGGTGGTTGCCAGGTGCTAGAGTAAAAGAGTTATTGCTAATGGGTATAGGGTTTCAGTTTGGGAAAATGAAAAAGTTCTGAAATGGACCGTGGTTGTTGTTAGGTGAATATACACTTAAAATGGTTAAAAATAGTAAACTTTTTGATATTTATATTTACCACATACATTTAATTTATACATATATTTACCACAGAAATGACTAATATAAAAAATATTGAGTAATATTGTCATTGCATGTTGGGAGGGTGTAATTAAACCAAGGTGCGGTAAGATATGCATGGTGAAATTAAATATGCATGATAATGATTTCAGGAAAGTGATTACTGGATAGCTATAAAAGCTTCAACTTTCAAATCAATACAAAAAATAAATATAGAAAAGGCAAGACAAAGGAAATATAAAAAGTAAGATAGTAAAAGCAATTCAAATATATCATAGTTACATAAATGTAAATGATTTAAAATTATTGGTTAAAAGAATAGGAACTATCATGTTCAAGCAAAGGTGTTTACAAAATCTAGTCTTATGGTGTTCTAAAAAGACATATAAAGCATAAAATAAATACACGAAACTTTAAAATAGAAAAAGATGTATAAGAAAAAAGGCCAACCCAAGAAAACCTGTAAATGATTAATTAATATCATCAGACAAAACAGAGTTAAGGCAAAAAACATTGTTGTGAATAAAGAGACTAACATATATAATACATATTATATATATATATACACACACATGAATAAAGGCACACATATATACACATATGGCAATATATATTAGCCTCTTTATTCACAACAGTGTGTGCATATATATATTATATATATTAGCCTCTTTATTCAAAACATATGTGTGTGTGTATATACACACACATATATATTAAATCTTTAGTTCAACTTAAAAATGAGATTTGAAGTATGTATCCGTGTTATAAATTAGTCTCACTCTATATAGTGCAAATATGAAAGAATTTATTATCCTATTATTAGATTTACGTGGCCAACCAAAGGGCGAAGAAGAGCCAAGATACTCCTGAAACATGATAAAGCAGAGTGACTTCCCTCTAAAATATCAACATTTAGTGCATACAACTTAATTAAAATATTATGGTAGTAAGACAGGGGTAGACAATGACCACTTAAGTGCATTGGAAAATGTGCGAAGACTCATTTATATATGCAACCTAGATATGTAAAACAGATGGCATTACTGATCAATAAACAAAGAGAAGGCTATTCAATATGTGGTGTTAAGACCCTTGTATATCCATATTTTTAGAAAAAAAATATACAATAATTCCCTACTTTGAGAAATTCCAAAAATTAAATGTTAGATGAAATATGGAATTAAAGGTGAAAGCAAGACAGGTAGTTCTTGCTTGCATGGTAGTGCAGAATCCTAAAAGACTGAGAAAGTTGAAACTGTGCAAAATGATCATAATCAATGATAAAAGTTATAATTGTTTCATGACCTTTAAAGTTTTTCCCAAAACATTCAAACACTCTTACTCTTGTTTATAAGTGTATAGGAAAAATATACAATAAAACTAAAATTTATTTAGTACAATGTTAAGGTAAAACATGGTAACACTGAAAATTACATTGTTTTGTCTCTTTGGAAAAAAATACCTATCAAAAGCAGCTTGAACAATGTCTGCCTTGTTATTGTGTAATTGGTGGCGTGCAGCTCATGTTTTCTATGCCTTGATGAATTGCCAGAGGTTTGGATTAGCTTTCATCATTTTATCCTTTATGCTTTGAGAGTTGTAAAATATCTATAATGGTTACATTAATGTAAAATTTTTCTTTAAGCCAATGCCATTTCCTCTGGGATGTCTTTTTGTCATCACAATCACTTTCTTCATTTACATTGATAAGTTTGCTGTCACCAAGTTTCTCAGGCTGCACACTTAGAGTCTCTCAAATGGCAGCAGTGTCAATATTCTAATTGAGTAACTCCATTTCTGTCCATGTGAACTTCACTTACAGAGCAATTACTTTTCTTTCTTTTACTACATTTTTATAATCATTGTTCAGTATCCTTCTATGATTATGTGCTTTTTAAATGTCATGTAAGTTTATCACTGGAAAACAAGGCAACACACCCACATACCCTCTGTATGAACCTAATAAGATATGCACAGTGACAAATTATCAATGCACCTTGAAGGAAGTGATATAATTTGTCACTGATCATGGTGTGCATCTGTTATTTATAAAATTTTTTGTACTAAAAAATTACCCGTGAAGTCTTTATTTTGTACAATTGTACATAGTTAGTAAACCATGGTGACTAAAATTTAAACTATGTTGTTGGGGCACTGGTGTTACTTAACTGAACTGTGGTAACTAAAGTTTGTTCATATTAGAATCCTGAAAAGCAAGGGATGCCCATATTTTCAAATGTTTAGAAAGAAATAAAGAACATTTTTATGCTCTTGGGATATAAAATTATTTTACAAGCAAGATACCAACATTTCATTAAAAATCAGCAAATTTTCTATATAAAATTAAAAACTATTATGGGCTAATAGACCTCTTAAAACAGAAATAGTCACATACATAACCTTCAAAAGCTAGTTTTATAAGATAGAAATAATTAAAGTCAAACAAAGCAATAGAAAAATGTGCAAAGAACACAAATGGACATTAGAAGAAGGAACATATAGTCAATAAACAAAAAGATGTTTGTACAAAGTTAAATGTGTATAAAGATCATAATCAGACCTACTAAATTGGTAAAAATCAAAAATCTAATACCAGGTTTTATATAGGATAATTCTTTTAAACTATTAATGTGATTTGGAGGTTTGTCCTCTCTAAATCTCATGTTGAAATGCGATTCCCAGTGTTGGAAGTGGGGCCTAGTGGGAGGTGACTGGATCATGGGGGTGGATGCCTCATGAAGGGCTTAGCACCATTCCCTTGGTGATAAATGAGTTCTTGCTTAGTTAGTTCACATGAGATCTGGTTGTTTAAAAGTCTGGGACCTCCCGCTCTCTCTCTCTCACCCCCTCTCTCACCATGTGATATGCTGGTTCCCCCTTTGCCTTAGCCATGATTGGAAGCTTTCTGTGGCCCTTACCAGAAGCCAAGCGATATCAACACAATGGTTCTGCAGCCAGCAGAACCAAGAGCCAATTAAACCTCCACTCTTTATAAATTACCCAACCTCAAGTGTTTCTTTATAGTGATGCAAAAATGGCCTAACACAACTATTGAGCATTATCTCATGAAAACTGAATTTTTGCATACTCAACTTTTCTGTCTGGAAAAACCTTTATGTCGTTGTTCTTTTAAAGACATTTTTGCTGGGTAAAAAATTCTAAGTTGACATTTATAGTTTTTTTTTTTTCAGTACTATAAGATGTTGTTCTACTGTCTTCTAGAATTCATTGTTTCTGATGAGAAAACTGCAGTCAACCTGATCCTTTTTTCTCTATATAAAAAGGTATCTTTTTTTACATTGTTGCTTTTAAGATTTTCTCTATATCACTAGCTTTAAGCATTTGATTATACTGTGCTTTGGTGTAGTTTCCTTCATGTTTCTTCTGTTTGGGGTTTGTTGAGTTTTTGGAATTATGCGTTCATATGTTTCATCAATTTTGGACATTCTTCAGCTGTTATTTTTCAATGTTTTTTTTTTATCCTTCCCCTCTCTGCTTTCCTTTGAGGATTCCAATTGCACATATATTTAGCCACCTTAAATTGTTTCACATCTCACTGATGCCCTGGGCTTTTGTTGGTGTTGTTGCTACTGTTTATATGTTCATTTTTATATACTTTTCTCACAGAGTTTTATTTTGGATAGTTTCCATTGTTATGGATTCAAGTTCACTAATCTTCCTTATGCATTGTCTAATCTATCATCAAACATATCCAATGTATTTTTAGAAATCTAAGATATTGTATTTTTCAACTCCAGATAGATCTGGGTAATTTTTACATCTCTCATGCCTTCACATCACATGCTCAATTTTTCCTTTAGCTTCTTAAACTAACAGGTTGCAGCCAAAATAACTATTTTAATGTCATTAACTATAAATTCTGTTAACATGTGTCATTTCTGAGTCATTTTCTAATGATTTTTTTTTCATATTGTAGGTTGTAATTTCTGTTTCTTTTCATCCTGATACATTTTTATTAGATGCCAGGGATTATGGGAACTACAGTTCAAGAGGAGATATGGGTAGGGACACAGCCAAGCCATATGAGTTGTTAATCCCTCCTTTGTTTACTCTAAAAATACTGATATATTTATTAAAAGAATCAAATACTAGGGCAAGTGATCATTAACGCTATTCACCGAATACTTTCGGCTCCCTGTCTTCCTGGTATAGAGCAGGATTTCAATTTTCCATACACACTGAAGATAGAGCCATGTGACAAGTTCTGCCAATGATTTCAGAGCCAAATATTTTAATTTGCTGCAGAGAGACACTGTAAGATGTACTATACTTTATGTTTGCTGCTGCCTACAAGTCATGGATTGAATTGTGTCCCCACTCCCTCAAATTCACATGTTGAATCCCAACCCCAGTTGCTCAGAATGTGGTCTTATTTGAAGATTGGGCCATTACAGAGGTAATCAAGTTAAAGTGAAGTCAGGAAATGCAGTGAGGCACACTCATTCATAAAAATGCATGCATGTGTGCTCACCACACACATACATACACATCCACGTGTGTGCCAGAAGCGCAAACTTTGAGATCTGAAGCTCAGTGGTGACCTTAAAAACTTTCAGTATTCTCATTATAAAATATCTAAGGAATGGTTTTGGCTCTTGTTATGGAGGCCTCCCAGTGATATTTTTAAAGCTATTCCATATCTTTTTTATTATGGAGATTTATCTTGCATAAATTAAAATGTACAGAACTTACATGTACTGTTTGAGATTTGAAAAATTTTACCCATCAATATTATCATCCCTCATTAATATATAGAATGTTTGCATAACTGCAGAGTGTTTCTCATGCCCTTTTCTCCACAGTACCGCCTCCCCTGGGGGAAGCACTGTTCTGATATTTTTATCCCTACAGATTAATCTTGGCAACTTAAGCTTCATATGAATGGAACAATATCTTATATATCTTTAGTGTCTGGCCTTTGTTGATCAACCTAATATTTCTGGGATTTTTCACTCATGTTATTGCTAAGAAGTGCACCTTCATATGAATAGGTTACAATTTGTTGATTCACTATCCTGTGATAGACATTTTATTTCTTTCCAATTTGGGGCTATTATGAATTGATCTACTTTGAAGATTCATACACATCTTTTTGTGGACATATGCTTTCATATCTTTCGAGACGGTACCTAGCCGTGAAGTCGCTGGGCAAATACACTTGTATAAAACTCCTTTTTCAGAACTTGGCATCATCTGGAGTTGGATGTTATTGCTTAAAAACCATAAACCCTTATTAATGTAAAATATTTATTAGAGTACTCCAGTATTTAAACAAGAAGCACTACTAATCTCATAATTAGGTTGGATAAAAATATTTTATTTAGTCCAACATTTTATGATTATCTGGTTAGGTTTGGAGATGGCATACATATTTTGGTCAAGCGTGATCGTATTCACTTAAAAATAAAGGACTACTTAAGATTTTTTTAACAAAAGGTATTATATAACATTAGAAAACATACCGGGGTCTCCATCTATCTGGGTTTTATAATTTACTAATGGCAGTGATATACAGATAAAGTTTTTTACAGTTATGAAATATTAAATAGCAATACACATATTTTACCAGGAAGAATATGATTCATTGCTAAAGCAGTGGTATACTGAGTGGATGAGTGGTAAATTAAAAAAAAAAAAAGTCATTATAGATATCTTTAGGAATAGTTTTCAAGGAACTATTAAGAATTGTGCTGGAATTTTATTGGAGCTGGATAGACATGAGGAAACATATGAGAAATTAAAAAATGCTGTGGAGGCTGGGTGCGGTGGCTCAGGCCTGTAATCCCAGCACTTTGGGAGGCCAAGGCGGGCCAATTACCTGAGGTCAGTAGTTTAAGACCAGCCTGACCAACATGGAGAAACCCTATCTCTACTAAAAATACAAAATTAGCCAGGCGTAATGGCGCATGCCTGTAATCCCAGCTATGTGGGAGGCTGAGGCAGGAGAACTGCTTGAACCTGGGAGGCGGAGGTTGCAGTGAGCCTAGAACACACCACTGCACTTCAGCCTGGGCAACAGGTGTGAAACTCTGTATAAAAAAAAAAAGTGCTGTTGACACATTCATAGAAGCAAGTAGAGCATTTTTCTAAGAAAAATAAAGAGAACAGTTAATATCGCTAAAAGTAAGAAGAATGAGGATTTAAAGATAAGTTGACTTCATAATGTCAAGACACAGAAGCTTGAATTAACCCTAAGAAAATTTTTCGTACTTTATTACTATCTATAGTAGGCCAAAAAAAGGATTGAAGATTTTTGAACAGTGCTTTTATCATGACCCTCTTCTAGAGGTTGCTTTCTAAAATGCTATTTGTAGAAGTATTTGCTATAGCTTAACATACATAATAAATGATTGCTGCTATAAGACATTGTTACTAATTAATTGATATCCAGCATATGATTATTACAAGTGGTAACTAAGAATGCGTCTGTGGGACACTGCAATCCTCACTACCTTCTGCATTCATAACATCTGAAGTAGTTGAGACCCTTGCACTGTCTGCTGCTCATGTCCAGACTGACTCCATTCCTCGAAGAGTTCATTATTCCCCATTCTCCCCATTATCAAAAGCATCTTTGCTTTCTTTTCTTCCTTCAGTTAGGTCACATAAACCTTGCAAAAACAGTTCAGTATGAAATAGATTTAACTAAAGCTACTATTTGACTTGTAGGAAAAAATCAACACAGATAAAACAGTCTCATATTTTGAATGTATTATTTTTTAACTGACTGATGGTATACATGGCCTTTTTACTACTCTGAAAGCCATGTCTCAGTGCTTCACAACTGTACTTCAAATGTAGCTAGCTGATGATGTACACAAACCATTCAGACTCTGATCATTCTTTTGGAGATAAAGTGAACTTAAGCATTACTGTTTCATCATAGCCCAAAATAGAATAAAATGATAAATTAACAGGATGGCTTTAATAAATGGGATAATTTAAACTGCATCCTACCCACAATTCTGAATGTAACAGGAATCTTGTTTGAACTTAGCTTTATCTGTACATTAATAGGATGTTCAGTATATCTGGACATAATTTGGAAGCCTGATGGTACCAGACTGATATAATTCTATTCATATGATGGCAAAGATTCTCTTGGATATGTACTGGGTTCTAGACATCTGAAACCATGTGTCAGAAAACTGATAGAATGAATGAGCTTACTGAAGTCTATTTATGTGGGTGACTGCATGTTTCCTACGAAAATTTTGGTCTAAAAAATTTTGGAAGAAGTTGCCAAGCAAAATAACATTAAGTCAGGAATAGATTCTTAGTAATCAAAAGTGGAAGAGTCTTTGTAGTTTATAGTTCCTGTTGCTTTAACTTGGCTTTGGTCTTGCCCCTGTATGCATGTAAGGGACTATTAAAAACATTTCAAAAAAGCTATTTCTAAATTATTCGGGGAAAAGCAACACTACTTTGAAAGAGTTTAATCCACATTATAGGAACGATTATCCCATTGTCCCCTGCTGATTCAAGCCAGCAAACTACAGTTGTATGATGTGACGTCATTTGAACCTGGAGCTCTGAAAAATTGTTTTGCATTTTTCATTCAAAATTACAATGTATTTGAATGACTCTTTCATTCTGCCCCTTTAAGACTTCACTACATCCCGTGTCTTTGCTATTGTGAAAAGTGGTGCAAGGAACATATGCATGCATGTATCTTTATAAGAGAATGATTTATATTCCTTTAGGTATATACCCAGTAACGGGATTGCTAGGTTAAATGGTATTTGTGCCTAGACCTTGACAGAGCTGAAGCCATTATCCTCAGCAAACTAACACAGGAACAGAAAACCAAACACAGCATATTCGCACTTATAAGTGGTAGGTGAACCAATGAGAACTGATAGGCACATGGTGGGGAACAAGGCACACTGATGCCTGTTGAGTGGGGTGGGGGTAGGGTAGGCACCAGGAAGAATAGCTAATGGATGCTGGGCTAATACCAAGGTGATGGGTTGATCTGTGCCACAAACCACCATGGCACACGTTTACCTATGTAACAAACCTGCACAACCTGCATGTGTACCCCAGAACTTAAAAGCTGAAGGAAAAAGAAAAGACTTCACTAGATCTTTCTTATTTAAATTATGAATAAAAAGACAAGAAATTGGTGAATGAAATACCTGGACTTTGTGCACTCTCTGGTTATTCCTTGTTATTTGACTTTTAATATCTGAAGCTCCTCCTGCCAAGACTGCTTTCCTAGGCCTGATCTTGGCTCTATTCCTAAAGCCCCATTTGGACTACATGCTAGTAAGAGCCCACCAGGAAGGTACTTCTCTTCATCATAGCCTCAGAATCACCTACATTTGTGAACAGCATCCTTTACCTTCTACTGAAGCAGAGGACAGATTTTTTTTTCCATAAATTGATCTTTACATCTTGGCTAATGGTTTCAGCAAGACAGTGCAGCTACTAGTTAATTACTGAAACAAGAATGACCCCTTCCCTATTGGGGAAAGATTTCTGCTTTTCAGTGAGATATGTTTTGAGTAGTGATCCACATGAAATGGCGCATAAGAAAGAACCAAAATAATTGAAGTCACCCTGGTAATCAATAGGATGTCACATGCCCCTTTATATATAATTTGTTACTGAATCTTACTTCATACCTTTTAATCATGAACATTTTGTTGTTGTTAAATTTGGTAGGTATAATACTAATAATAGCTAATATTTACTATGTACTTATTATACATCAGGTACTGTGCTACATTCTTATAACTTATTGTAACTTTACAACTGTAAGAGCCCACTGTTTCCACTTGTAAGGATCAGACACCTAGAAGAACTGAGTAGATTGCCAAATTTTTAATTCTGAGACCCACAAGTAACACTCTGTATCTTCAAATCCATGTTCTTTATCACCTCGTTGTAAGTTAAATACCACTTACTTAGTAAAAATGTTACTTACAAAATTGTGAGATGCCCATAATTGTTTCTCGAATGGAATTTCCCATTCTAAGGGAACTACCTATTAACTAAAATTGTCTCATCAATAATGCAAACCGTGATAATAAAGAATAAGGGTAAGAAAAAATTAAAATACTAACAAAAGGCTTCCTTTCATGCTCTAATATTGTTCTCTAAGGCACAAAGAATTATCTAAAACACCCAGGGAAAAACGCAGGAATAAAAATAATAAAAATCTCTTTCATCTATTTTTCTTTTGCCTTTTTTTGTTTGTAATGTTCCTATGTCCTATCTTCCTCAAAGTGACTGTGTGTTTCTCGCAATTCATAGACAGAACACATATCAAGAAAAACAACTGTGACAACTTCAAAAAAGCAACCTCTAAAAAAAAATCACAAGGCAATATTTTTAAATTTCATTGAAACTCAGTGTGCATGTCAGATGAAAGTTCAGATATGGTAGGACACTGACAATAAAGTTCTTATTTAATTCAATACATATTTACCAAGTGGCTATGTTACAGCAGTTCAGTTTCTTGTTCTGTCATAACGTAAGCCAATGGAAGTTCTGGGTCGGGGGGTACTCTGCTACCGGGCAACAATAATGAAGATGAAGTACTGAAACTAGCTTGATTTAAAAGCTTATGTATATTTTGCTCTATTTTGTAGAATTTTTTGTCATGGCCACTTAAAATATAAAATAGTTATTCCTCTGTAGAAAGATGAGAATATGGCACCCAACCAATGCATTGTAGGGGATCATGGAGTCTAGAGTTGGAGACGCTCTTATGTCTTGACATAAGAGGACATCATTCTGGGTTTTTCACCATTTTTTCTAAAGCATTGACTTTTGTAGGTTTTATTTCAAACAATGGCTTTCAGAATAGGCTTCTTGAAGCTTTCATTCTTAATGTTTTTCATGTATACAAGAGTACTCTTAAACATTCATTCATGTCTTCAAAATGAGATTTCATTACAACCATTTTAGTTTTTTCCTTCCCAAAAATCCCTTCATAGTCATATTATATTGGCCAAAAAATTCCTAACAATTTTAGCAAGGACATATCATAATAAAGATGACAAATTTCTTATACATATTAATGAGAGACCATAAAATATTTAAGCTCCAAAATTAATTACTGTATTTTACAAGAAGATAGAAGTTTGAAGAAATGAAGTAAATATTACCTTAATAATATACTTTATATTACAAAATATATATCTTTTCCTCTGTAATTCTCAACAAAATGGTCATAGACTTTTGCCAAATATGATTATTTCCATATGAATGTGTTTCACTTAAGTTATCTCCTTTGCATCCATAAGCAGTAGGCTATTAAGCAGAATGCTAATTATTATTTCTAGCTGGAGATGTTCAATACTTCTTCCCACTTACAAAAATAGCATATTGTACAGTTTGATTAAAATCTCATTTTTGTTACTTTTTCATCACCTTAGCAATTTGGTATGTGAGAAAAGTATATTTCAACAAACAGTTACATCTTCGCAAATTCTACCCATTTGTTGCCCTTGGACATTTTATCAGACAATAAATACAGTGGTGTGATTGCAGCTTTGGGGTTTTAATGCTGAAATGTAAGCTCTTTTGTTTATTTAACTTATAGGTATTATTTATGGTACAGTTTTCCAAGAGTTCACTGAAACATTTTGACAACATAATTAATTAAAATTGAGACTAAGGAAATAACTATTATCAGCAGGTGGTATTTACCCTGAGCCAAAGAATTTACCCATTTTGTGACTAGCCACCAGAAAACACAATCCAGCTTTGTTTTAAGGAAAGGTTAATTTAGCAGCAGCCACATTTACCTTGTCTTTGAGAAGCACAACCGTTGATAGAATCCTACATCATGCTGTTCAGCAAATGAAAGCATCTCCTATTTTATATGATTATAGGGAACGAGGCTCTACTTGTTCAACATGAGTCCACAAACACTAAGTACTTTACTTAATAGATTTGGCAAGCATGAATATCTGGGGAAAGCTTAAGAGAAACATTCAAGTAAAAAAAAAGATGCAAAACCAAATCTTTTCTGACTATTCAAAAACCTTTGCCCCATTTGAGGGTTTGGAGTGAGAAATGTTTATTCTCTGGAATTCATGAGGTCTGGCCTGGACCAGAGATCCAGCAATAATAAAGTCATGTTACCCAACACTTACACAAGCATGATTAAATGCTATAAGGTAGGAGAAAATTAGTAAATATAAGTTAAAGTTGTTATATTCTTTTAAAATATATATATCTCGAAGTGTTTATGGCCTACGTATAAGCTCCATGTAGTGGTATCCAGTTACGGTAGACAAAAATGAATTTTTTTCAGGCAATGTTTTACTCAGTCTTTCAAAGCATTGCAAGCATAAAACCCAAATAGCGTTACCAAACTCTGAGACATTTCTCTTCATTCTTTATTGAAAAATGAAATAAAGCTACAAGCAGCGAGATAATCAACAAGGAATCAGCAGTGAATTTAAATGTGTTTACATTTAAATTGATCATGTTAGTTAAATCTTCCAGCGTATGTGTGGCAATACATAAGCAACAATTTGCAATGTTTACTGAAATTTGCATTTTTACATTCTTTCATCAAAACCGATTCATGAAGCTAAATTTTAAATACAGTTTTGAAATCCTTTATCTCTCAAATAAAAGAGTTCATGACTTGTGGAATTTTAATGTTTTCTAAAGATCTATTCAGATAAATTGTGGAGGAGTTACGTGAAAAAGGAAGGTGAAGAAATAAAACTGTCAGTAGGTACCTACAGTAGGATTATGATTGTTCCAGTTCTTGTCTTTCCAATTTGCTCAGGTAGATTCTATAACTATTTAAAATGATTATGGGCTGTGGTAATTTTAGACTATTCTGTCTTGCCCTCAAAAAGTATCTGTTTGTTGAAAATAAAGAATGAAGAAACCACCCTACTATATGAGAGACTTTGTGAAGATTCAAATAAAACGTACTCGTTTCTGAAGGATAATTTTAGTCATAGAGGAAGAAATGCCCTAAAATACAATATACATTTTTATCTCCTGGTTCTTGTAATCTGCTGCCTCTGCTCCCTGAACAGCATGGTGCCCCTGCTTAGAATACTTCCCCGCCTTCAGCCTGCCCCTATGCCAACATGGATGCTCACATAATCGTTCTGCTTCTTTTGTTTTTATTGCTTAATATTTTGAGCACAAAAAATAATATGTAATGTATATTTAAGGTATAAAGAATAATTTAAAAAATATATAATCCACTGCCAGATTCAGCAATTAAGTACTAAAAATAACCTTGAAGACTGTTTGTACCCTCGTTAATAATCTTACTTTTTTTTCCCATCAGAGTGTTAATTATTCCCATGTTTCACTATGGATTAACTACATATACACCTGTCTCCAAAATATCAGAGTTAAGTGTTGTATGTTTATAGGCTTTGTATAAGTGATACCATGCTATATTTATTCTTCTATCATATTGGTGTTTTTGTAATTTAGCCATGCTGACTAGTAAAGGGCTGATATCTCATTTTTATCTTTGTATGTTATTCTCTTAGATGATTACAATACAGGAAAATTATTCATTTTCATAGTGATCATCATTTGTATTATTTCTAGGATTTTTTTTAATACAAAGCTGCAATGAATACTCTCGATGAAGTCTCTTGACATTCAGGGCTACATTTTCTGAAGTCTCTTGGCATACACGGCAAAAATTTCTCTAGACTTTTGTGGAGGTACAAGGTATACATATTTTTAACTCTACAAGAAAATGCCAGATTGAATTTTCAAAGTTCATGTACAATGTCACATAACCATTTGCTATATATAAGCATTCCTCTTAGTCCACATCTTCATGACAATGGGAATCTTGGCAAGCTCCTCAAATATCTCTGTTGGAATTTTAATTGAAATCTATTCAATATTTTAATCAATTTCAGAAAAGATGTCTTTGATAGTGATTCTTTCCATTGATGTATAAGATCTTCTCCATTTGTTTTGGTCTGATTTACATTCTATAAGCATAGCCTGGTGTAAATGTCTATCAAGAAGATTTTTAGATTGTTTTCAAAGAGAAAGGCAATGGATTTTTAATCAGCCACTTGGTAAAATGGAGGACAAATTTTTTTCTCTAAGTTTCTCCGATGTCTTGTATAGTCAGTTATATTAACTATGACTAATACAGATTTGGTGTTTTTTTAAACATTTAAGTATTTCATTATATTTTTATTTTTTTCTACTCAACAAACAAATGTTGAATAGAAGCCATAATAACCATTTTTCTCATTTATTATTTTAAAAATGTTTTTAATGTTTTAGCATTTGATATTAGTTGTATATCCATGATCATTAATTAAGATGTGTAGGATTCATTCTGTTTCTAGTTTGCAAATTATTTTTAAAATAAAATTGCACTGAATTTTTCAAATGCTTAAAAAATATCTATTGAGATGACATTATGGCATTCTTCCTGTTCTTTTTTCAGTTTACTAACTTAGGAAATTAAGTAAATGAGTTTCTCAAAAATTAGGTAAATTAATTTAGGAATTTAAGAAGTAGCTAAATAAATTTTACCACATTAAAGCCGTTATTGAATGATCTTGAATGGGTATTTTTTAGCATCAGTGTTAATGAGTAAGATTGATTACTCTGTCTCTTATTTGTAACACACTTATATAAGCCTCATAAAAAGAATGGTATAGTGGCCTCTTTTTATTTTCTCTAGAAATTTATGTACATAATAAGAATTATGTATTTATAAGAAGTATTTGTTTATTGATAGTTCAGTAAAACTAAACTTTAAAGTTATTTAAAATTATTTGTTAAATATTTTTAAATGTATTCAATTTCTTTAATTCGTTATAAATCTATTCATCCTACTTCTTGAATTAGTTGTGTTGCTATGTTTTTCTTGGAATTGATCATCATTTCTAAATTTAATATATATTGACAAAGCAGTGCTCAAAGTTTTCTCTCTTTTATTTACCATCTCTCTATAGTTTTTTTTTATTATTATTGTTGATATTTTTATTTCTCCTTGTTGTCTTGGCTAGTCTTTTATGAAATCAATTTTACCTTGAATAGCCATTGAAGTGAAGAGGGCTGGTGACAAATAAGTATGTGTTGCTTGATTAAACAATCTTGAAACTGTAGTGTAAGGAATTTTAATTATCAAATTCAAAATTATTAAATAATAAAATTGTATAGACTATCCAGTATGTAATAAATTTTTTATCATGAAGTGTTTTCCCAAGATAGTAAGGATGCTTCTAAAAAATAATAATGAAGAACTTTTAAAGTAAATCATCTTATTAAAGATAAATGAAAAAACAGTTTGTAGAATTATCATATCTAGAGTTCACTGAGTTTCAGAATGACTTCCAGATTAACTTGATCATATTATGGGAAGCCTATTTTAATTAACTATGGTTCACTAATATGTTTTACCTTAATTGAACATTCTGGATGTAAACAAGTAAATAATGAAAAGGGACTTATTAATTTCAATATTGTGAACAAAATAGAAGATATTTCTGTTATTTTTGGACCACTGCATTTTTGGTTTCCAAGTGGCTTATGTGTATTAATCAAATTTTGCCAATTACTTAAACTCTCTGTGCCACTTTTCTCTTTGTAAAATAGTGGGAAAATAAAACTGACCTCATTACTTTTTCAGGGAATTCATTTAATCATCATATGTCCATCTCATAGAAGACATCCTATGCATAATAAGTGCAGAGTAAGCATTAACTATTGCTAATATCATAGGTAAATATATAATAATGTATCTAATGATTACTGATTTAGTATGACTGGATCCTTCTGAACTAATGGCAAAGGTGTGCTGCTGACTCCTATAAATATCTTCTTTGAACAATGAAAAACAAAGTTTGAGGTCTCAAGGTAGCATTTAAACAGCTGTAATCAGGGTGCATGCCTTAATAGCCACCGTCATTCCCCTCAAATGTGTCACTACTATCTAGTTCATATTGCAATTTAAGCTAAACATTGCTTAGTATCTAAGTTCTAATCACGTGACCTTTCTTTTTCCAGGGAAGAAAGTTCCCAGCATTACGTACTTGAGATGATGTCTGAAAATGTCTATTTAGTCTGGTGGAAGTTAGACTAAATAGTAACCTTCTATTTAGGGTTTTACCAAACACAAAAAGACTATTTTGCAGAGGAAGAGCCACGTTGTCAAATAATATAGTAAAACTGGGCATCATTGTCTTGATTCTGATGAGAATTCTGCTTCTTTATTTATAATCTTTATGCTTTTTTTCCCCTCCTTACCTTATATCATAGAATAGCATCTTCAATAAAATGTTAAATATAAATGGTAAGAGTAGACACCTGTTCCCAATCTTAGGGAAAATATTTCCAAGTTTTAGTGTCAGGTATGATGTTAGCTGCAGGTTTTTTTCTTTTAAATAGATGGCCTTTGTTAGGTTTTGGAAGCTCCTCCTCTGCCCCTCTTGATTCCTAAGTTCTATAGGAATTTTTTGAAAAATCATGATTGGTAGTTGAATATTTTCAAATGCTTTTTCCTTATCTATTGAGATAGGCAAATAACTTTTTTTATTTTGTTAAAATATTAAACTGTATTGACTGATTTTGTGTGTGTGACTGTTAAATTAACCTTGCATTTTTGGGACAAACTACACATGGCCATGTGTGGCATCTTTTTATGTATTGTTAGATTTGATTTTGCTAATGTTTTATGAATGATTTTTGTTTCTACTTTTATGAAGAATATTCGTACATAGTTTATTTTCCTTATAATGTTATTTTCTCATTTGGGTATCAGAAAAAATAGACATAATGCATTTCCGAGTGTTTCCTCTTTATTTTCTGAAAGAGTTTGCGGAGAATCAATATTATTCCTGCCACGAAGGCTGGGTCTCATTAGGAGAAAAGCCGCCTAAGCCTGAAGTTTCTTTATGGAATAGTTTTGAATTACAAATTCAAACTCTTTAATAGATACAGGACGATTCAGGTCTTTTGTTTCATCTTTTGTCAGTTTTAGTAATTGATGTATTTTAAGGAATCTACCAATGTTACCAGACTTGTCAAATGATAGAACACTACTAAACAACTTAATCTTGTATTCTCACTGACCTCAAACTCTAAGTCTTATGGTGACATTTAGTGTGATTGCCCATGGGCAGAATGATGTCTTTCTACCATGTGACTTCATAGAATTATGTCATTCTCTTTAGTAAACTTTCACCTCCCTCCCTTCCTTATCCATATTTCATATTCTTATGCCTCTTTCAAAACTATACTCAAATTTTATCTCCTTGCTAAAGATCCAATGGCTCCTCTCATGCCCAGGATTCCCACTAAGCATGTCACCCAATCTTTAGTGCCTGATTTCTTCATTTAGTTATTTATTTAAAAATATTTAGTGGCTGGGCATGGTGGCTCACGTCTGTAATCCCAGCACTTTGGGAGGCCTAGGTAGACAGATCACCTGAGGTCAGGAGTTCTAGACTAGCCTGACCAACATGGTGAAATCCCATCTCTACTAAAAATACCAGTAATTCCAGATACTCAGGAGGCTGAGGCAGGAGAATTGCTTGAACCTTCTAGGCGGAGGTTGCAGTGAGCCAAGATTGTGCCATTGCACTTCAACCTGGGCAACAACAGCGAGACTCCATTTCAAAAAAAAAAAAAAAGAGTGATTATGATATGCCAAGTACTATGTTGAGTGTGTTGTGCGATATCAAACAGATTAGGTTGACTTCTTCATAAAACCTTGGCATCAACAAAATAAATTAGATAATCAGGCCAACAAAAGATTTACTGGAGAGAAGAAATTTGTACTGAGAATTTGAAGCATAAGTCAAAGCAGACCTGAAAATGCCCATGTGAATGAATATTTTAGGTGGAAGGATAGTATGCACAAAGAATGCAGTATGTAAGGGGTGTGGAGGAGAAAAACGTGGGAAGGATTTTAAAAATGAAGTTGGAAAGTTAAGTGGGGCACTGCCTGAGCAGGTTTATAATAATATTTGCTGACTGAATTTAGGTCTTATCTGTTTGAAGAATTGGCAGATAGTACATTAGATAACCTAGATGATATTTGAAATTTGTTACATAAAACATAAAGTAAGAATATGACATCAGTTCTGACAATGTAAAAACATAGAAAGAAGTACAATTGTTAGGTGCGTACCAGTTTAAACAATCTAATTTCCAAATAATCACTTTACTAAAAATAACCCACACCATGACAGTAAAAATTATTCTGAGAAAACTGAATTATTTTATGGAATTATTTTATTATTTTATTGAATTGTGTCTTCTGGATGATTTGATTTCTACCGCTGGAACTACCAGACATATACATTCATTTGGCTGTCTCTAAAGCCATTCTTTCAAATCTTCTTCAGAGGATTTGGAAATGAAACACTGAATGAGGAATTATCTTGTAACTTATAAAAAATTTAAACCACAGGATTCATATCCCTAAGATAGACACATTAAATAACACAAGCAGAAAGATAATGAACAAATAAGGCAATTCATAAAATTATTTAGTGAATAATATAATGAAACTATATTTAGGCGATTTTTATATGCTATTCTATATTTGTCTTGTTATTTTATAAGCACAATTCTTCACTAAAATAAAATATTAACCAAATTACTGAATCAGCCTCTTATTGTGAAATATAGATGTCTTTGTAAATGTGGAGCTTAAGAGAACTAAGACAAGTGAGTAGTCATTTAGCATCTCCTAAACTTTACCTTACAATTGTACTTTTTGACCCCTATAAAATTTTGGAGTCAATGTCAAATTTAATATGACATTACATTCTACTTTTCATTATTATAGTGGTGTAAATATGCTAGCTCAGTTAGATTGAATGTATTCTAGTCAGTGACTGCATCTTGCTCATTTCTGTGTACAACATAGTATGACACAATGTTTTCTTCATAGAAGATCTTCACTAATCTTTTTAATTTAAATGAGTTAAACACAAGAGATATTAACATTTCTCATCAGTACCAATCTTTTTGTCTTTTTTGTCTTCTAGGTAAGCAGAACACTCTACTGAAATTTCACTTAGCTGGGGCTATGGGACTGGTTCTGCCCAAAAGGTGGCAAGCATATATGGCAAGTGTCATTTCCTGCCCTAAGCCTTTAGTTTCCAGAACAACTTCTGTCTGTCATTTCATCTCATGATAGAGCAACAGAGGTAACATATTCTTGTGGGTATCGTTAAAAGATGACGTAACCTCTGACAACCTGAGTCCATAAATGTCTGCACAGAGGACAGCCCCTTTCTAACCAGCCTGTGATATACCATGAAACAAACCTTTTTATTGCCTTAAGCCACAGAGATATTTGCAGATGTGTTTCACTTCAGCAAAGCTGGTTCTATCATAACTAATATATATTTTTCTTAAGTATAAAACACTAGTGTTTATATGAATCTCAGTAATCTCTCCTCATTGCTTTTTCTTACTAGGGGATTGTCTAAATAAGACAAAAACGAGTCCTAATGAGTTGTACATACATAACCAGCTATCTGCTTTTTAAAGTTTACATTGCTCTATGTTGAATGGATACTAACAAGTATCATTTGGATACCACAGCAGATACTGAAAAACACTTGAGATTAGAAGGCTGGTACATAACAGAGTCCCAATAAATTATTGATTAATAGAAACACTGTATCATTGGGGCTTTACAAATGTTTCAAAATGCATAACGACATGAATTTTGAACAATCCTAAACCAGATAGATAGTACCCTCATATTCTTTTGTCCAGAATTATACAGGGACCTCAGGATTTTGCTAGAGACTTTTTATATTAATCTTTCTAAACATCATAAACTAAACATATTTCAATATACTCTTTTTTAGAGTCTCATTTTACTTTCCATTGAAACTGTAAAGGATTTCAGGTTAGTTTTTATTATGGGTTTTGCTCTACTTCATATCAGGGTGATATAGCAGAGAAGAAGTGATGGGAGAGGAGCATTGTACAAGCGTGTTCTTCTCATTGCCAGCTGACCACAGGCTCACTCTATTTGCCATAACATTTCTCTCCCTGTCTATCTTATTTCTTTCTGGCCTCACAGGGTCATATCTAAAAACATTTTAAGAAAAAATAAATTAAAAATATGGAAACGTAAGAAAAGATCATTTGCCTGATATTTAAGCTTCGAAATCCAACATTGAAACTAGACTAAATTCCTATGAGCAACTATTTTTCAAACTGTTCTGCAGTTGTCTGGTTTTATTTCACTTTCCAAAACCTATCATTATCACCCATTTCTTGAGGATACGCTCTCTAGTGAATTCAAGCTAGGACAGTGTCAGTTGCACTTCAATCATTAACTATTACTTCCTCTGGATAACAAAGAAAGAGCTTTCCACATATGATATAACAAAGCAGATGATATGGTTTGACTGTGCCCCCATCCAAATCTCATCTTGTAGTTCCCATAATCCCCATGAGTCACAGGAGGGACCAGGTGGAGATACTAGAATCACGAGGGTGGTTTGTCTCATCCTGTTCTTGTGCTAGTCAGTTCTCTCAAGATCTGATGGTTTTATAAGGGGTTTCCCACTTTGCTGGGCACTGATTCTTCTCCTTCCCGCCACCATATAAAGAAGGATGTGTTTGCTTCCCCTCACTATGACTGTAAGTTTCCTGTGGCCTACCTAGCCCTGCAGAACTATGAGTCAATTAAACCTTTTTCCTTTATAAATTACCCAGTCTGAGGTATATCCTTATAGCAGTGGGAGAACAGACTAATACAGCAAATTGGTAGTGGGAATAGTGGGGACGCCACTGTAAATATATCTGAAAATGTGGAAACAACTTTAGAACTGGGTAGCAGGCAGAGGTTGGAACAGTTTGGAGGGTTCAGAGGAAGACAGAAACGTGGGAAAGTTTGGAACTTCCTAGAGACTTGTTGAACAGCTGTGACCCAAATGCTTTATAGTGATACAGAAAATGAAGTCCAGGCTGAGATGGTATCAGATGAAGATGAGAAAATTGTTGGGAACTGAAGTAACAGTCACTCTTGCTGTGCAAAGAGACTGGTGGCATTTTGCCCTTCCCTAGAGATTGGTGCACTTTGTGCTTGAGAGATGATTTAGGGTATCTGGCGGAAGAAATATCTAAGCAGCAAAGCATTCAAGAGGAAGCAGAGATAAAAGTTTGGAAATTTTGCAGCCTGATGATGTGATAGAAGAGAAAACCCTAGCACTTTAGGAGGTCAAGGCAGGTGGATTACCTGAGGTCAGGAGTTCCAGACCAACCTGGTAAACATGATTAAAACCTGTCTCCTCTTAAAAGAGAGAGAGAGAGAGAGAGAGAGAGAAACAAAAGTTAGCTGATCATAGTGCCACCTGCCTGTAATTCCAGCTACTTGGGAGGCTAAGGCAGGTGAATCGCTCGAACCCGGGAGGTGGAGGTTGCTGTGAGCTGAGATTGCACCACTGCACTCCAGCCTGGGCAACAAAGTGAGACTCCTTCAAAAACAACATCAACAACAACCAAAGAAAACCCTATTTTCTGGAGACACATTCAAGCCAGTTGCAGACATTTGTATAAGTAAAGAGGAGCCAAATGTTAATCACCAAGACAATGGAAAAAATGTCTCCAGGGCATGCCGGAGAACTTCATGGCATCACCTCCCATCACAGGCCTGGAGGCCTAGGAGGAAGAAATGGTTTCCTGGGCCTGGTCTTGGGATGCCCTCCTCTATGCAGCCTAGACTTGGTGCCCCATGTCCCAGCTGCTTCTGCTCTAGCCATGGCTGAAAGGGGCCAAGGTAAAGCTTGGGCCATTGCTTCAGAAGGTGAAAGCCCCAAGCCTTCGTGGCTTACACATGGTGTTGAGCCTGTGGGTGCACAGAAGAATTGAGGTTTGGGAACATCCATCTAGATTTCAGATGGATGGAAATTCCTGGATGTCCAGGAAGAAGTTTGCTGCAGGGGTGGGGCCCACATGAAGAAACTCTACTATGGCAGTGCTGAAGGGAAATGTAGAGTTGAAGCCCCAATACAGAATCTCCACTGGGGCATTGCCAAATGAAGCTGTGAGAAGAGGGTCACCATCCTCTAGACCCTAGAATTTTAGATCCACTGACAGCTTGCACTCTGGGCCTGGAAAAGCCAAGACACTCAACACCAGCTTGGGAGAGCAACCAGGAGGGGGGCTGTACCCTGCAAACCTAAAGGGGCAGAGCTGCCCAAGGGCATGAGGACCCACCTCTTGCATCAGCATGTCCTAGATATGACATATGAAGTCAAAGGAGATCATTTTGGAACTTTAAGGTTTAATGACTGCCCCACTGGATTTTGGACTTGCATGAGGCCTACAATTTTTCTGTTTTGGCCAATTTCTCCCATTTAGAATGGGTGTATTTACCTGATGCCTGTACCCCCATTGTATCCAGGGAGCAACTAACTTGCTTTCCATTTTACAGGCTCATAGATGGAAGGGAATTGCCTTGTCTCAGATGAGACTTTGGACTTGGACATTTGAGTTAAAGCTGGAATGAGTTAAGACTTTGGGGGACTGTTGGAAGGGCATGATTGTGTTTTGAAAAGTGAGGACATGAGATTTCGAGGGGCCAGGGGTGGTATAATATCATTTGGCTGCATACCGACCCAAATCTCATCTTGAATTTTAGTTCCCATAATCCCTCCATATCGTGGGAAGGACTACATGAAGACAGTTGAATCATGGGGGCAGTTTAGCCAATTGGGTTCTCATCATAGTCAGTTAGTTCTTTTGAGATGTGATCTGATGGTTTTATAAGGGGCTTCCCCCTTTGATCGGCACTCCTTCTTCTTCCTACCACCATGTGAAGAAGGACATGTTTGCTTCCCGCTCCACCTGAAGGTAAGTTTCCTGAAGCCTACCCAGCCCTGCAGAACTGTGAGTCAATTAAACCTCTTTCCTTTATAAATCGCACAGTCTCAGGTATGTCCTTACAGCAGCCACAGAATGGACTAATACACTACATATGCGGAATATTCAGAATATCTGTGTGTAAGATATCTGTCAAAATCTACATAGTAGTTCCATTCTACATTCTGAACTCTCTTTTATAAATGTTACTTGGTTTTTGTTATGGCCACTCTTTCGTTTTTTATTCTGGAAAGCAGAATTTATCAATCAGATTCACAAATAATCAGGTTGTTTTCTCAAATAAGATTTCAATAATTCTCAAGGTATAAGTAGAAAGAAACATGAATTCACAAATAGATAACATATGTTCAGGAAAAATAAACATGGGTACATGGGTATATCACATCATATCATATTTTAGCTCTTCATGGGACAAACTGCCTTGGGACACAGGTTTTGAAGATTTAATGTATGAGGACACCTTTTAATACGACAAAAGGGTATATTGACAGACAATTGAAAATAGTTGTATTTTTAATCTCTACTGGTTGAGAAAGCACTTGATAACACAGAGTTTCCAATAACACATTTATAATAGTTCATGGTAGGTTGTGCTATGGTAACAAAACAAAAGAAAAACATATGTAAGTAACTTAAGAAAAAAAAGAAAGGTTTATTTCTCAATCACATTATAAATTGGTGGCTATAGGCTGGTTATAGGACTGCTCGATATGTCTTTCAATACCAGTATTTCAGCTAATAAGAAGGCACTATTGGAGATATCCTGTTCCTGCAATTTTTGAAATTTTGAATCAACTGATCTTTGATACTGTAAAAATGTCTTGTAGTTTATATATTCTTTGTCAGCTTAATTGTAAGTTTTTACTTACTGTTGTGTGTATATGTGTGTGTATACCTTTTCTTATAGTTTTCTAACAAAAATTTTTAGCTGAAATAGCTATCCTACCATCTCTCCATCTTTTTCTTTCTTTTTTCTTTCTTTTTGTTTTCAAGAACTAGAAATACCATTTGACCCAGCGATCCCATAACTGGGTATATACCCAAAGGATTATAAATCATGCTATTATAAAGACACGTGCACACATATATTTACTGCAGCATTATTCACAATAGCAAAGACTTAGAACCAACTCAAATGTCTATCAATGATAGACTGGATTAAGAAAATGTGGCACATATACACCATGGAATATTATGCAGCCATAAAAAAAGGATGAGTTCATGTCCTTTGCAGGGACATAGATGAAGCTGGAAACCATCATTCTCAGCAAACTATCACAAGGACGGAAAATCAAACACCACATGTTCTCACTCATAGGTGGGAACTGAACAATGAGAACACTTGGATGCAGGGCAGGGAACATCACACACCAGGGCCTGTCAGGGGATGGGGGTCTGGGGGAGGGATAGCATTAGGAGAAATACCTAATGTAGATGATGAGTTGATGGGTGCAGCAAACCAACATGGCACATGTATACCTATGTAACAAACCTGCACGTTGTGCACATGTACCCTAGAACTTAAAGTATGATAAAATATATATATATATATATATATATTTAAAAATCCAAGTTATCCATTTACAGTGGGTAAATGCCACCAAC
Source organism: Homo sapiens (assembly GCF_000001405.40). Taxonomy (NCBI): domain Eukaryota; kingdom Metazoa; phylum Chordata; class Mammalia; order Primates; family Hominidae; genus Homo; species Homo sapiens. The sequence goes on from NC_000008.11 coordinate 16,323,485, forward strand.
TAAGAACCTATTAAGTCATTAAAGAAAATGTTCATTATATGTTTAGTTCCAATTTCCCATGATCCATCTTATTAATTCTTTTATAATTATAGAATTTCTTTTAAAGATCAAACTACTATGTATTTGCTGAAAACATCTCTTAAAATTATTCACTGTGATATATCTGACTTTGTTCACAACAAACAACTTCACTTTTATTTTTTAAAAAATGTCATTTTCAGTTGCCATTCATTATGAAATTTGCAACAGATCACCAGTTTCTGCATCTCCACTTGGTTAAACATCAGTATTATGCCTTTAAATTTGCAAATTTTTCTATACTTAGTATTTAAAGTAGAAAAATACTTTATGTTAAAATTAACATACCGCATATTTCAATTTAACTGTCACTATAATTTACCAAATTATGACTAACTCCAGGGTATGTATGCAATATCCAAATAAGCAAATTGAAATGTTTTACTAGATGTGTAGAAAAAATATATTTAAATGAATCAATCTGTTGACACTGATCGTTTGTCACTGAGTATGTTGCTAATGAGTTTATGTGTAACAATAGAAACAATACACATGCCTAACAACTGCAATGTAACAATAGCTAACTTGATGCAATGGTTAAAGTAAAAAAAATTCCTATGATACAGTAAGATGTTTCTAATAAAAATATTTTATACTGCTATGAGGTTTAAGTTAAAATTAATTAAAATGTAAAATTCAGTGTTTTGATCATATTTGCTATATATTTCATGGGCTCAATAGCTGCTTGGGGCTAGTGCCTATGATATTAGAGAACACAATCATAGAGCAACTGGCAGTGATTTTTATGAGTGGCATTTGATTAACTGCATGGAAGTGGGCTAACTACAGGGAAAAACAAGTGGAGATGTTCAAAAGCATTGTTTTCTAACATGTCGATTTGCCACTGTGTATTATGTATTTGACCGGAAGTAATAAGGGAATTTCAAAGATTTTTTTTTGTTTGCTTTTATATGCCTGATTTAAACTCTATGTTTCCCAGTCAAAATGTCCTAAGTGAAAAGATATTCTTGATAAACAAATCTGTATTGAATGCTAACTGCACCAAACACTGTTAGGAGCCATATATCTTGTATCTTGTAATCACCTAATTTAGGCAAGGGATTTAAAGTGTTTCGTACCCTCTGCCATGATTCCATATAGAATTTCAAGTCAAATGCTGGCATGGGAATACATGTATCTGCTTTGTATTTACAATTTTGTCACAAGCCACTTGTATCACTTTGGAGAAATCATGTGAAATTGATTCTCAATGCTACGGTGACACAAAGCCTAGAATTACTTATATATAGCAAGAAATTGCCTTCCTTTCTCCTATCCCAAACACTTGGTCCATTTTATACAAGGATAAAAAACACATAGGAAACAAAACTGACTGCTTTGTGATAATACATAGCTAGGTGTTGACCTTTGACGTATAAAATAAACCTAAAAAAAAGTCACTTGAGATTTAAAGCATGTTCCTTAAAAAAGATGGAATACATTGTTTTCTTCAGTTCTCCACAGTATCACCTGAATTTCTGTGCCAGCGATTAAAAAAGAAAAAAGAAGTTTTAAAAACAGCATTCATAAATGATTAGTTCAAAACCAGGTAGGATTATCCAGGCAAAAAATCTACATTTTTGCAATCTTAATACACAGGGACACGATCACAATTATATGCAAGTCATTAGCCCACACATTATCTATCAAACTCTTTCTCAATGTGGCTCTAAATCTTCCCTTGTCAGAAAATGAACAAAATGTCCAGAAGTTTGAAACTGTGGCTGCTCACAGACCTTGATCTGGGTTCCAACTGTATCACCTAATATCAAATTCCCTTGCATTGTACAAAGATGGTTGTTACTGCAAATGCTGTTTTGATTAGGAAATAAATGCCTTATTCCATTAGAGAAGAAAGATTATATCACACTTAAACTTGCAAAATGGTTTTGCATTCTTATAGAGGAAATCATGTGTTTTAGGGGCAAGAGCACTACCGGGAATTAGAAAACTTTGCTTATGCTCCTGGCCTTATTGCTGACACACTGTTTAGCATTAACACCAAACTTCCCACTGCCTCAAATTGCTAATGTGTGTGATGAGTTATCTGTTACACCACTGGTATCTGCTTAACAGGGATGATATGAGAATTAATTAAGGGACTCTTTAATCTGCTTATGGCTGCTCTAGAAAATATATTTTAAAATGAATAAATGAAAGTTACTTAGTAAAACTGCTTTATAAATATTCTCAGAAATGATATTTTTGATTTAATGGATTCCAAAAGGAGCAACGAAAATTCAACGACTCTCCACTTTGAGTCAAGGAAGGCAATGATTACGGAACTACAGCATTGTATGGTGTTCTGTTCTCCATGGACACACTACTACTCACCAGCCTGCTGATACCACAATGATTCAGGATAAAAGGAAAAATGATTCAGGGTAAAAGGAAAGCATCTGCTCTTCCATAGAGAAATGAAGATAACCAAATTAACCAAGCACACTTGAGTAGATGATAATTGTACTCAAAGGATAAAAAACATCTTGCTTTCCTGGAAATCCTGATACAGATGGTGTAAAACTCTGTTGCCTATCACATGAAATGAGGCCTTATGTTGAAATTCACTGATTAAACATGCTGCTTTAAGGATGTATGCTTTTTGAAAACACAATAAACACATAAATTATAATTATAATTTAGTGTAATATAACTGTCATTATAATTTTTAAACATGTTAAAAAACACAATAGAATGAAAAATTATATTAGGGTAAACAAGTGTTATATAGCTTAAGTATAGTTGGAAGGTCTGGAATATACAATAAATCACTGTGTTATTCTGTTTTGTGCTGCTATAACAGAATACCTGAGACTGTGTAATTATGATCAATAGAAATTTACTGGCTCATGCTTCTGGGGACTGGGAGGTTCAAGACTGACGGACTGGCATCTGGCAAAGGTTTTCTTGCTATGTCATTCCATGGTAGAGGGCAGAAGAGCAAGAAAACTCAAGAGAGAAAATAAAAGAAGCCAAACTTCCCCTTTTATAATGAACTCATTCCCACACTAATGAACCCATTCCTGAGGTAGCAGCAGGAATCCATCCACTCCTCCTTCATGAACTAATCCCCTCTCATTTGGCTCCATCTCCCAACAGTGGTGCATTGTGGATTAAGTTTTCAAGGCAGGCTTTTTCAGGAGGATACATTCAAATCACAGGCATCACATATAGCCTCACTTTATGAATAAGTCTAGGCATATCTAGACAATTCTATCAGCCAAGTCCCACAGGTAACTTTAAAATGTAGTGAGTCATGCCCCCCACACCCCCATGAAATTCTGACTCAATCTTTAAAATAACAGAATGTTTAGAAGAGGCGTAATATTTTGATATATACTACTTTACTAATGCATAAGTGAAACACAAAATGTATTGAACTAATATTCAAAATATACACAATACAATACTTATGACACTGAATAACAGATAAGAATCCTGAATCTTTGAATTTGTATTTTACAAGCCCCATGTGGAAATCTGCAAAAGACATGGAGTGGCAATTCTGAGTTTTCATCTTGAATTTGACAAGTGAACTCTGTGATCCTGGGCAAGTCAAGTATTGTCACTTAAAAAAAACAACAAAATTGGTCAAAATTGTCTTCCAGTTCCAAGTAAAAATCTCTGAATTAGATATAAACTTCATTTTTTTCTTAAGTCACAAATTAAAACACAATGCTTACTTGATACATTATAAAGAGGAAGGTGACAAATACATTGTAAAAACTAATGTCGTCCTCTGTTAATGTTTTAAAACATTTAAAAATGTTCAAATTATTCAATTACTAAGCCGACAAAGTGCTAGCCAGTTTTTATAAAATCACATGATTACATAAATAAATATTAGCAATAATAAATCCATATATGAAGCAAATTCTTAAATTTGACAACCAAGCAAATAGTCTCTTCCCCCCTTTTTTCTTTTCAGAAACATTTACTTTAGTAAGTAAGGTCCTTTAAGATCCTCTTTTAGGATATTTAAATTAGTAATCTCTATTTGTCATTATCTACACTAACTCAAAATTAATCAATTAAAACTATGTTTATTGAGAGGTTAACTTTGTAAAGCAAAATGAACAAAACAATGACGAAATAAAAACAAATAGAAATAGTTATATCAGAAACATCCAGACGTGCTTTATTTCAACTAACATTAGACAACCACTTACTCTGTTAGACCCCATTATAAGTGCTTTATCGCTTTTCTTAAATCCTCATAACTCAAAAGATGTAGCCACTATCATTATGTCAATTACACAGATAACACAAAGGCATGAAGAAGTTAAGAAATGCTTAATTAAGCTCACCCAGCTTCCAAGTGGCAAAGCCAGTATTCATAGCCGGGAATTTTAGCACCAGAGTCTATGTTGTACACCACCCTGTAGCCTTTCAGTAAATGTAATTTGGTTTGGGAAGCAATAAATAGATCAGCTTGGTGTAATTACAGAAAATATGAGATGGTGATCAGAATTAGAGTTTGTTTGGCACTAGGTGCTAGGTCAAGGGGTTTGGATTTAATTTTATAAAACACGAGAATTATTGAAATTTTCCAAGCTGAGGTGTGATATGGTAAGAGCAGAGTTTCAAAAGATTCATCTGGCAGTAGCGTGCACGGTGTGTTAGAGAGATCTTTCAAGTTAGGAAGCTCTCATGATTGTGAAAATGAGTGGGCAGTGATGAGGAAATGGAAAGCCGGTGTATGAAATGTGAGGCGGCATTGTGAAAAAATGACTAAGACATGACAACCAATGAATAACGGAAGAGGAGTGAGAGAAACATGAAAGTTCAACAGTTTTGAATCTGATGGACTTGGAAATGCATGGTGCCATCACAGAGAAAAGCTATCACAAAGCACAGTTGGATTGGAATCATTAAGGGAGGGATGATTTCAATTTTAGGTTTGTTGACAGACCTTAAAGCCTCAGTTTAGCATTACGAAGTTCTGAGGATAAAATAACAAGTTTCTACCTAACATCCTTTTCTGGGTAGAGGTGGTTAGTAAGAGACTATTACAAATTTTCAAAAACTAAACTGCATGGAATTTTCAGAAATGCCACCAAAATCTATATTTGGATTCTGCATATAGAAAGAGAAAATTATTGTTCAAGGAAATAAAATTCAAGTAAACTTGGATACTTTCCCAGAAAAAAATCATTCGCCATTTTAACAGGGTGAAGAAAAATTTGTAGATTTTTTTTTTAGGTAACAAAACTACCTTGATACTTCCTATCATATACACAGTGTCTCCATCTGTAGCTGTACACTTGCCAAGCTGTATAATTTGAGATAAAGTACTTTAAAAATGCAAAGACAAAACTACCTAAGAATCTTACATATATGTGTGTATTATGTACATGTATGTATATATATGTACATATATACAACTACCATTTCATATATTGTGATATTCATGTAAAAATATACTTATATATACATACACACACAGACATACGCACACTTTTTCAGTATCTGCTGTGTTTCTCTGTGTTATTTTTTGCCATTATCATTCTACTATTTTGAGTATTTGCAGTTTTCTGTCATTTTATATTCATATCTTCAGTCTCCTCTTCATTTCTTTTATGAAAAAAATAAAATTTATTGTCCTTTTATCCCTTCCTATCCTCTCATCCTAATTTAGTTAATAATGTTATCTTTTTTGATGTGTATCTTTGTGTTCAAAAATATATGTCTGCTTTCACTTTTTATCAACTTTAATAAAATGCTTTTACTTGAAGTGATCATCTATGAGGCAATAAGTGGGCTTATTTTATAATATACTTTTTTTTTGTTAGTTGAAGTGCCTTAACATATAACATTTATATGTTATGTATGTGGTTAGGTATATGTAGGTATATGTATATGTATGTATATGTATATATACATGACTAGTCAAGCATTGAATTTTCTGAAATGTCACCAAACATTTGATTATTGGGAACTGGAAAATTTCTCAGCTCTTTCACCACTCTGATACTTTAATTCTGAGACATGTTCTACTGCATCCCAGATTTTTCTAACAGGTTTGACCTGGAGTTGACCATAGTGATTACTGTGTGTGTGTTCGAGTAAGTGTGTGTGTGTGTGTGTGTGTGTGTGTGTTTACATATACACATATCTACTCTTTCATATATACTCACCATAGGTGAGCATATGCCTATATATAAATGTATAGCATATAAGTGTATATATACTATATATGTGCATATATATATTTTAAAAATATCTATCATCTATCTATCCTTTTTACATATCTGAAATTTTTCTCTGAGCATGTATCATTTTGTCTCCCCTATACCAGCCTTTTTCGTTCTTAATTTATAATTAATAATATTCAGTGTTCACCACCAATTTGCCTAATGTAGTTTTCTCAGTGTTTTGTTTAAGTGAAATATATCCTCAGTTAGCACCTGGAGTAATCACAAAGTCAATATTTCCTGGGTTATTTTGTGTTCAAAATATTTTGTCTGATTCGAAGGCCAGTGAATTCTAAAATTCTTGCCTCAAAAGTTCTTTTCTTATCATTAGACGTTGTTCAACTGTTTACTAATTTTGAATATTAATGTCTAAAAATCTGATGAAAATCTCATTTTCTTTTGTTTATATGTGGCATGAGCATGGGAATGAAAATATTTAATCGGAGTAAAATTTCTAATTTTCTTTTTCAAAAGTGTATTCAGTTGAATATTCTCTGAATTTCTATGTATTTGAGAAAATTATTCTAATGTATTAATATGACAATAATTTCAGATTAATTCTAAGTGAGATTTTGATATTTCTAAGCATATCTGGTAAATTGACACAAAGAAACTGTAGAGACTAATGGCTTTTGGAAAATTTATCCCAATGTCAAAGGGACCAAGTTTTACATTTGACCTATCAAAGACATCTTTAAGCTTAGAGGCAAAAGGAAATTATGAGTAGAACATGGTACATATTACAAAGAATTGTCTTTTAAATTGATTATTCCAGAAATGAAGACATGCATACTTAATATTTCAGACATATGCTAATCAAAATTTTTACCCTTTTTGTCGCTAGTCGAAGAGGCGTTGGATATTTTAACTTTTTTTTTTCTAGTACATTCTGTCATTGTTCTGTCCATGTCAACCTAACACTCTTTACATTGCCACCTTAAGTTTTAATTGCCAGAGCCTTTAACTCTCCCTAAGGATTTTCTCTGGGTTCTTGCAGTCAATCTGGAAGTGGATAGAAACTAATAATACACTCCAGGAACATGAGTCAAACACTGACTAATGGGAAATGGAGAATTTCTCAGCTCTTTCTCCCCTCTGATAGCCCAATTCTGAGGCATGTTCTACGGCTTCCCAGATTTTCCTAATAGGTTTGACCTAAAGGTGACCACAGCGATCACTTACTTGATAACATGATCGTGTTATAGGCTTCCATGCCTTTCCTCTTTTACCTCACTACAATCAAAAGACGTAGTACAAGAAGTGGTCCTAAAAAACAGAGCCCTCAGAATGAAATTTTGCAATCTGTTTACTCACCTGCCAGATGGCAACAAAGACCCTATTACTAAGAATGATTAAGAATGGTAACAATGCCTGACTGCCCAATTACCTGAAGGGAATTGGGATGAAGGTCGTATAAAAAGGGATGGACTGACCAATGCAACCTATTGCATGAAAGACATAGGTAAAATGGTAAATATGTAAGAATTATGAAATCAGCTGTTAACTACCAATGAAACATTTACTGAAGAAAATGGCAGAATCGTGGTAGTCAACTGTCAACTCAGCGCATGTATGAAAGCCCGGAAGCTTCCATGTCAGTACCCAGAGGGTCTTTCATTTCCAGCAGTTGGAAACGAAATGTGCTGAAAATCGAGTCCAGGATCTAACTGTGACAAGAACAGAGTTCCAAAGAAAGCAAAATTGGCAGCTCTAACAAGGCTCCTATGATAAAGTCAGGAAACCAGATTGCCTCGGCTAGTAAAAGTGGTCCCATTCCCCTCTAAAAGAATGCCTGCAGACTATGCAAATTCATCATCTAAGGCAGGTGATCAATGCTTATCTTCCTCAAGATCTGCTCCCATCTCTGCTCATTGCTTCTGAGGAGTAAGATTAAGACTTGGTATGGCCTGATTGGCAAGTACTTCTATTCCAGAAGAACAAAATCTGCACCAAAAGATCACCAAATCTTGGTTAATATATACAAGTGAGGACTGGGAGAACATGCATGAGTATGGATCTACAGGGTTAGTTTCCTTATTGTTCAATGAAAAAGGGCTTATCTTAGGTTGGGGGAGGGGAGAATCTATTTTTATAGTTAGTGAAGGAATTTTGTAACATAAATTAAAAAACAGTTGACAAATTCCCAGCTGTGGTGCCACATTTCTCAATTAGCTTACCCCAGTCTGTAATATTTTTATTTTCTTTCAGGTTGTCCTAGGCTGACAAGGTATTTTTTGTTCCTTCTATTCTGCATTACCATATCTTTTCCAATGTTTAGGATTAATTAACATCTAAGGGAGATTATATTTTATCTGGGTTTAAATAATTCTTTCAATTTTACAGCTAAGCTTAGTTTACTAATTTTCACCAAATTAACTCAGTGCAGTCCCCTTTACTCTGCCCTCAGAAATTGTTTGAATAGTTGCAACTCTTCCCTTGTTTCTAATCCTTCAGAGCTGACGATAAATCTGATTCAAAAGTTTTTGATAATCATTGGGAGGTGTTCAGTGATTTTTCAATCAGTATGTGTCATCATCCATTCTGAAGGGGGAGACATCTTATTCTTTTGAAATTGAATTACATATGAGAAGAGCATGACACGTATTTTTACATTTACTACTTGAAATTATATGATCAATCATTAGTACACCTTCTAAACATTAAGATGACTATATTAAAATTTCAAAAGATGTATTTATCTGAATCTACTTTTCTTTCCTTTTCCAGTAATACTACCCAGAACAAATTAGAAAGAAAAAAGTACTACTTAAAGTAAGGTTTTATTTTGAGAATCACATCATACCTTCTGGAAGTATCTCTGAATCTACAGGTAAATATGCCCCAAGAAATCACCTGCATGCCATGATCAAAAGAACAAATACTAAGATAAAATCTAAAACATTCATGCTGCCCTAAATATTACAAGTATACAAGCTTTGACTTTATAATTACAGAAAAAATTACTTTAACCAAGTGATAAAACAGAAAATGGTAATGAAATATTAATTACCAACAACGTAATAGGAAATTAAATTTCCAAAAGAGAAGAGACAAAAGATAAAAACGCATTATCTGACTACTTAGGATAGATGTTGATATTATATATTATTTAATATTCAGAATGATCTATCTAAAGTAGTTGGTATCATTCTCATTTTATATGAGGAGAAACTGAAGTTCAGAAAGTTAAGTAAGGTTAGGTTAACCATTGTTAAGCTGGTAGATAATGGTTTTGTTGAAAGACTTTATAACCACAATAGAAGATAGAGATAAAAACAACATGGTAGACACTTCTTGTTTATCATTTATTTATTTTGCTTTGTTTTATCACAGTGAGAATTTTCGAAGGTCAGTGATGTGAACAAGAGTTCTCTGAATAATACAAAGGCTTTTTAAGCATCATTCTTTGTAAAATTGATTTTCTCCTTCGATCTCACTATTATCACTTGCCAAGGGATCTCTTTTAACTCTCTTCTGCATTTCTCATTCACAAATTATAAATATTTCAAGATCAAAATGAATGTCAAATTTATACCATTTCCAGAGGTATTTAAGGGTTCAGTTACTATTAGTTGTTCTTTCTTGGAAAGTGCCATAAAATTAATTTCAAATTTATATTTGTACAAATCATCATAAAAATAAAAATATATAATTATATTTGATGTTTAAATTATATATCAATATACCATCTTCTGAGCAAAGTGTTATTCAGAATCATTATATAACATTTACCTATAGTTTCTTGAAATTAAAAAAAAGTATATTTCTGTAGAAAAGTGTACTTTCTTAAGGAAGAAGCTTTTCCAAGCAATATATTGTCTTATGCTGCCTTCTAATAATTCTGAATATAACAGAAAACAATAAAATTAATATCAGTTTTTATATCTTTTTGGCAATTTCAAGTGAACCATTAGAAAGATAAATTATGTCTTCTCTTAAAAACACACATTTGTAACGTGGTTAAGAATATACATTGTTAATTTTTAAAATCCTTCTTTACTAGATACAGCCGAGAGCCACTAGAAGATTTATAAATGTTGAAGAGCAATGTTCTTTCTATCTTTAATAAATTGTGAACATCATAGAATAAAAATGAGATGATGTAAACAGATTGGAAAATATTGAGATATTTTTTAAAAACTTATTAAACAAGGTGTCAGACTCCAGATTAAATGCCAGTATGCTTCAGAAATGAGAAGACAAATACAAAAATTCACAGTCAGATTTTCCATTTTTGTCAAAAAATAGCCTGCTTTAAGAGAATAAATGTTATACACAATGAACATGAACATATAGCCCTATTTCTCATAAAAGGGTAGGGAAAAATTGTCACAGTTCAATGAGGTCCTCCTCTAGGCAGACATTTCCAGTCAGACCACCAGAAAATAGTGGGGAAAAATGCCCAACCAAACAAACAGATCTATTTCTTAGCTCGTTTCTTAAATTGTCAAGGTATCAATATGGAGGCAAGATGATGACAGAAGCACAAATTGGGATTTTATAGGAGCAATAAAGATCATAGAAAATCCTGAGACTTCTGCCTTAATTCTTATTTGATTGCTTTATCTTACCTTCGAGAAAATTCAAATGACATTTTCAAACTCTTAAACAAAAAGATACAATCTTCTCTCCATTAGCTCAGGCAAAGAGCTGCATGTAAAGAATAATTTGATCAAGAGAACATGTCTCTGCCCAAGTCCCTTGACTATCCAAGAAGAAACATAAAAAAACTTTATTTTTCTTTTAAGAGACAGAGTCTCAGTCTGTTGCTCAAGGCTGGAGTGCCATGGTGCCATCATAGCTCACTACAGCCTTGAACTCAAGCGATCCTCCTGCCTCAGCCTACCAAATAGGTAGGACTACAGGCATGTGCCACCATGCTTGGCTAATTTTTAAAAGTCTTTTTGTAGAGACAGGGTCCTGCTATGTTGCCCAGGCTAGTGTTGAACTCCTAGCCTCAAGCAATCCTTCCACCTTAGCCTCCCAAATTGCTGAGATTACAGGCATCAGCCACTGTGTCCAGCGGGGAACTATTTTGTTTAATGAAAGAGTGGACCCAAAAGGTTAAAATAGAGAAAAAGGGGAAAACGTTATGAAAATTTAAGAATTAGATGGTGATGATTGAATATATTAATTCCTTCAGATTTCATATCCAAGAGAAAGATTCAATCTTCAGAAAACAGAATACACTCACACAAACTCACACACACACATACACACATATATATGCACATATGTATATGTATATACTATTCATCCCTACTTACACCCAGCATGAAGTACTACATGATACACACACACACACACACACACACACACACACACGTACATTTGGAGTAAATATTCTGAAATTATATATATTTCCAGAGACAATTTGTTGCATCGAAATAATTTCAATGTCTCAGCAAACAAAAGACTGCATTCAATGCCAGTATATTCTCAAGTTCCTCTGCTTTCAAAGAAAATGTACTTTCTTGACTTTGTGATACAATATTAAAGACTAAATAAACCCTCTAGGAAAGTTGTGTAATTAGTAGAAAACATTGCATCTAAATTTAACAAAACCACAGAATTTAATATGCTAAGATTTAGGACATTAACTTTTAAAAACCTAAAACAAATAAATCAATTTTAATTACAATATTTAAAGCTTTAGAGAATCAGAAGCTCACAAGTATAAACTGGAATAGAAAGGATAAACGGTTTACTACAAATGACAATTTCAGGAAACTCTCAAAAAAGAAGTATGTCACAGTTGAAATTAGAGAAGTTTCAATAATCACAATTATAAGATTAAATTTCAATGTAAAACATGCTATTTCAAAATACCAAAAAGAAATGTTATGATGGACCAATGACACATATAGATGAACACTATCTACTTTCTTTTTTATTATACTTTAAGTTCTAGGGTACATGTGCCCAACATGCAGGTTTGTTACATATGTATACATGTGCCATGTTGGTGTGCTGCACCCATTAACTTGTCATTTACATTAGGTATATCTCCTAATGCTATCCCTCCCACCTCCCCCCAACCCACAACAGTCCCCGGTGTGTGATGTCCCCTTTCCTGTGTCCAAGTGTTCTCACTGTTCATTTTCCACCTATGAGTGAGAACATGCGATGTTTGGTTTTTTGTCCTTGTGATAGTTTGCTGAGAATGATGGTTTTCAGCTTCATCCATGTCCCTACAAAGGACATGAACTCATCATTTTTTATAGCTGCATAGTATTCCATGGTGTATATGTGCCACATTTTCTTAATCCATTCTATCATTGTTGAAAATTTGGGTTGGTTCTAAGTCCTTGCTACTGTGAATAGTGCCACAATAAACATACATGTGAATGTGTCTTTATAGCAGTATGATTTATAATCCTTTGGGTATATACGCAGTAATGGGATGGCTGGGTCAAATGGTATTTCTAGTTCTAGACCCCTGAGGAATTGCCACACTGTCTACCCCAATGGTTGAACCAGTTTACAGTCCCACCAACAGTGGAAAAATGTTCCTATTTCTCCACATCCTCTCCAGCACCTGTTGTTTCCTGACTTTTTAATGACTGCCATTCTAACTGGTGTGAGATGGTATCTCATTGTGGTTTTGATTTGCATTTCTCTGATGGCCAGTGATGATGAGCATTTTTTCATGTGTCTTTTGGCTGCATAAATGTCTTCGAGAAATGTCTACTCATATCCTTCACCCACTTGTTGAAGGGGTTGTTTTTTTCTTGTAAATTTGTTTGAGTTCATTGTAGATTCTGGATATTAGCCCTCTGTCAGATGAATAGATTGCAAAAATTTTCTCCCATTCTGTAGGTTGCCTGTTCACTCTGATGGTAGTATCTTTTGCTGTGCAGAAGGTCTTTAGTTTAATTAGATCCCATTTGTCAATTTTGGCTTTTGTTGCCATTGCTATTGGTGTTTTAGACATGAAGTCCTTGCCCATGCCTATGTCCTGAATGGTATTGCCTAGGTTTTCTTCTAGGGTTGTTACGGTTTTACGTCTAATATTTAAATCTTTAATCCATCTTGAATGAATTTTTGTATAAGGTGTGAGGACGGGATCCAGTTTCAGCTTTCTACATATGGCTAGCCAGTTTTCCCACCACCATTTGTTAAATAGGGAATCCTTTCCCCATTTCTTGTTTTTGTCAGGTTTGTCAAAGATCAGATAGTTGTAGATGTTTGGTATTATTTCTGAGGGTTCTGTTCTGTTCCATTGGTCTATATCTCTGTTTTGGTACCAGTACTATGCTGTTTTGGTTACTGTAGCCTTGTAGTATAGTTTGCAGTCAGGTAGCGTCATGCCTCCAGCTTTGTTCTTTTGGCTTAGGATTGACTTGGCAATGCGGGCTCTTTTTTGGTTCCATATGAACTTTAAAGTAGTCTTTTCCAATTCTGTGAAGAAAGTCATTGGTAGCTTGATGGGAATGGCATTGAATGTATAAATTACCTTGGGCAGTATGGCCATTTTCATGATATTGAATCTTCCTACCCATGAGCATGGAATGTTCTTCCATTTGTTTGTATCCTCTTTTATTTCATTGAGCAGTGGTTTGTAATTCTCCGTGAAGCGGTCCTTCACGTCCCTTGTAAGTTGGATTCCTAGGTGTTTTATTCTCTTTGAAGCAATTGTGAATGGGAGTTCACTCATGATTTGGCTCTCTGTTTGTCTGTTATTGGTGTATAAGAATGCTTGTGATTTTTGTACATTGATTTTGTATCCTGAGACTTTGCTGAAGTTGCTTATCAGCTTAAGGAGATTTTGGTGCTGAGAGGATGGGCTTTTCTAGATATACAATCATGTCATCTGCAAACAGGGACAATTTGACTTCCTCTTTTCCTAATTGAATACCTTTTCTTTCTTTCTCCTGCCTGATTGCCCTGGCCAGAACTTCCAACACTATGTTGAATAGGAGTGGTGAGAGAGGGCATCCCTGTCTTGTGCCAGTTTTCAAAGGGAATGCTTACACTTTTTGCCCATTCAGTATGATATTGAGTGTAGGTTTGTCATAGATAGCTCTTATTATTTTGAGATACGTCCCATCAGTACCTAATTTATTGAGTTTTTAGCATGAAGGGCTGCTGAATTTTGTCAAAGGCCTTTTCTACATCTATTGAGATAATCATGTGGTTTTTGTCGTTGATTCTGTTTATATGCTGGATTATGTTTATTGATTTGCGTATGTTTAACCAGCCTTGCATCCCAGGGATGAAGCCCACTTGATAATGGTGGATAAGCTTTTTGATGTGTTGCTGGATTCGGTTTGCCAGTATTTTGTTGAGGATTTTGGCATCGATGTTCATCAGGGATATTGGTCTAAAATTCTCTTTTTTGTTGTGTCTCTGCCAGGCTTTGGTATCAGGATGATGCTGGCCCATAAAATGAGTTAGGGAGGATTCCCTCTTTTTCTATTGATGGGAATAGTTTCAGAAGGAATGCTACCAGTTCCTCCTTGTACCTCTGGTAGAATTGGGCTGTGAATCCATCTGGTCCTGGACTTTTTTGGTTGGTAAGCTATTAATTATTGCCTCAATTTCAGAGCCTGTTATTGCTCTATTGACAGATTCAACTTCTTCCTGGTTTAGTCTTGGGAGGGTGTATGTGTCGAGGAATTTATCCATTTCTTCTAGATTTTCTAGTTTATTTCCATAGAGGTGTTTATAGTATTCTCTGATGGTAGTTTGTATTTCTGTGGGGTTGGTGGTGATATCCCCTTTATCATTTTTTATTGTGTCTATTTGATTCCTCTCTCCTCTTTATTAGTCTTGCTAGCGGTCTATCAATTTTGTTGATCTTCTCAAAAAACCAGCTCTTGGATTCATTGATTTTTTTGAAGAGTTTTTCGTGCCTCTATTTCCTTCAGTTCTGCTATGATCTTAGTTATTTCTTGCCTTCTGCTAGCTTTTGAATGTGTTTGCTCTTGCTTCTCTAGTTCTTTTAATTGTGATGTTAGGGTGTCAACTTTAGATCTTTCCTGCTTTCTCTTGTGGGCATTTAGTGCTATAAATTTCCCTCTACACACTGCTTTAAATGTGTCCCAGAGATTCTGGTATGTTGTGTCTTTGTTCTCGTTGGTTTCAAAGAACATCTTAATGCCCCCGAATATTCAGCATCTTAAAGTCCTGGAAACACTGAACTTTTTAGTAACTTGTATTTCACACTATGTGCAGGGTTCAGTGGAATAACCCTCAAAATTCCACCAAGAATTAATTCTAAGAAATTTGGTGTTATAAGGGGAGATAAAAATCTAGAGAACTGTGAGACTGTATTTTCCTTTTTAAAATCTTAGTTAAAGTAATTGCAACTGGGGAGATTAGTGTGATCCCTGCAAACTGGAAAATGCAGTTCTTTTCACAGAAAGGGAAGACAGTGGATTTCAGAACCATAAAAGTCTAAAAAAATGAGTAGTGAATAGCTGGCAAGGGAATCTATGAATACTAGGAATCTGCCAGCACCATTTTATTTTCTTTTTTGGAAGGTATCATTCAAGTAGAGAACTAGAAGAACACTGTATTTTTGTGAGTTAATAAGCTATTTCTGCATAACAATTCATCAAATATCCCATCGCTTTAAAAAAGAATCATACATTTAGCTCATTTTGGATCAATAACTTACAGTGAGTTTGCCTAGAGGGGTTTTCTTGGCACCCCTGAACTCCTATATATGTTCAGGGGTCAGCTGGATACCACTATTTTCAGCTGGTATCAACAAGAACAGTTAGGCCAGCTGGCATAAGTAGACATAAATGGTATGTTGCAACTCTTCTCAACATGTTCCTCACATCCCTCTAGTAGACTACCCTGGGAATTTTCTTATCGTGAAAGCCTGGGTTCAAGAGAGCAATACAGAGTTTGCAAGCAGTTTGCAAGCTCTGTTTGCATCATATTTGCTGACCTCAGTTGGCCAAACCGTTTATATGACTGAGCCCAGAATCAAGAGATGGTTCAGATTATTACAATGGGAAAAATGAATATTAGGCCATCAATGTAATTACTCTATCACACTTCACCCTCTGGCCACATCCCTCTTACATGCAAAATATGCCCCACTTCACCCAGGATCTCTAAAACTTCCTTCAGTCCTGCACTAGGCTTGGAGTCCAGGATATTATCATTTGCATCAGGTCCAGATGGAGCTCTTCAGATGTGGTTCCTCTAGATGTGAAGATAAACTAAAAGGAAAATCTATCCAATTCCCACACACCAAACTATGAGACAAGGGTAGGAAGACTGCAATAAATGCCATTATTTGAAAAGAGGTATTTAAAAAAGAAACATAGTAGTCACTGGTTTATAACCATTCTCAAATTCTGCTGCTGAGCCCATGTTGCAAGATTCTTCTGATCTGGATGCAGGGAATGTTTCCTGTTCAAGCTTTATTTATGCTTTTTGGAAGTGTCTCTCCAGCCCAATGTTCTCTATGATTCTTGGTTCCACGTTCTGGGATGCCCTTCGTTTTTCAATTTCTGTAGCCACTTTTGAGACTTTATTAGAAGTTATACCCTTGGAACAATATTCTAAGACTACTTCCTGTTTGTAGAAATGTTGGGGCCCCAGAGACCATTATGCACTTTGAATAATATAATACCATTTTAAACTAAGATGGCTTTACTTTTCCCAAAATAAAACCCTGAAATATTGTGTGGTTTTTCTGTAATGCAACCATGTCGTGTTCCATGTGTTTTTGTTTATCCTCCTTAGATTTGCTCAGTTTCTTAGATGTGTAATTTGGTACTATGTGATAATTTTGGGTTGTCCTCAGACACTATCTCTTTAAATATTTCTTCTGCCCCATTCTCATGTGTATTATGCCATTTGATATTTTTCCACAGACATTGGCTACTCTATTTTGCTTTTGTTTGTTTTGTTCTCTCCTTTCTTTTTTCCCTTTGTGTTTCAGTTTGGATCTTTCTCTACATCTGTCTTCAAGCTGATTCGTACCTTTGTTGTGTCTACCTTGCTGTTAAAGCCCTCAAACACATTTTTAATTTACGTATTATATTTTATATCTAGTATATCCATTGCTTCTATTTTTAATAGTTTTTTTGAAATATTCCACCTCTTTCTACATATTGTCTGTTTTCCCACTAGATATGTTATAATTTTTATTATTATTTTAAAGACCCTTTCTGTCAGTTCTAATTTTTAAGTCACTTCCATATATATTATTGACTGCTTATCTTCTTGATTATGGGTCTCTTCCACTCTATGTGCTCTTGTGAGAGACCCATTTTCATTTTTCTTGTAATTTGCGGGGGGGGGGTACTAGTTATTCTGTATAAAATTAATACTGATGTTAAAACAAAACCTGCCCAGAGATACTTCCTTATTCTGCTAGGCTGCTAGAGTTAATAACTTGAATCAATAAGATGTATAGTAGAAGTAGGTCTGAGATTTATTGCAAATTTTGATTCAATTTCCCATTGACTTTTATTATTTTGAGCGCAAGATTAGAAGTATTCCTTCAGTAGGACATGAACACTGATGTTATTCTGATAAACCATTTGTTCTTTACAGCCTGGACTCAGCTTTAGGAATTATGAGAGCTTTGCTTCACAGAGAAGCTTTGCTTCAGGTTTTGAATAAAGGGGAGATTCTGTTCTCTAGTCCTGCTTTTGGCTTGCTCTTACACTGACTTCCTGTCCTGGCCTCTGGATGTTTCTCTAGCCTCCTGCCCTGTCTCCAGTCTTCCAAGCACAGATGCATTACACTTTGTGATGGGTGTGGAGGATATTTAGGAGAAACTTATCTCAGGTTTTCTGCTTTTAGCCCTCCAACCATGCCTTGGTGAAGTTCCCACCATCAGTTTCTAAAAGTCTGAAGTGCCTTGGTGGGGTTTACCTTGCCCTGACCCTGGTATTTTGTGACGCCCCCCAGGCACACAGTGAACACCTGTGGAGAAGAATTGGTAGCTAGGTGCTGACTTACACTGTGGTAGCCACTGTTCAGTGTTCCAGCCTGAATACAATCATTAACATCTCATTTAAATTGAGGGCAGTTCTTTTTACCCCTTCTATGGTGAATTTCTAGTCCTCCCACTACTCCACCAGGGATGAGTTGATGATATCTGTTATGATGCTTTTCTCTCTCGTAAAGTGCTTACCACTATTTAGAATTTAGTTCATTAACTTTCACAAAAACTCAGGTTTTTATGGTAAAAAACAAACAAAAGCAACAATGATGTTGTAGATTATTGGGCTCGTTTTTAGATGTCAGGTATGAGTGATGTTCTTTAGAGATATTTACATTATTACCAGAAACAAAATATGCAATTAGATATTAATTCATATTTATAGATTTTTAAAAAATAACTCTTAATACAATGGAATGGGAAATCATTAGGAATAAATAGTCACATGATATGTTATTTATATCTGTGTTATATGTATTTTGCTGACAACCTCGCTTCCACTTAATAAAAAAAAAATCCCAGACACATTATTTTGGTATATTTCATCTTTCATTCTGATAATGTTAAAAAATATATTCTTCTACAAATCATTTTAAACGTTTTATAAGAATAATTCAGTATTCTTGGTAAGGTAATTCAATACAGGGCACAAAGAACTGAAATATACAACTGGCTTCATGCCATCCCCATTTGGGACAATGTTATCAAAAGGTACAAAACATCTCTGATCTCATAAGACTGCTTCCTGCAGTCATTAAATATCAAGTCATTGCCTACTGAAGTTCAATGCACAAATGGGTTTTGTTGCTTATTTTACACTGAGGAAACATTCAGAAAAAAAAACCAAATACATTTAAAGAATTGTATTACCTCAATCTGACAATGTGCAAAAATAATGACCGATAGTTTTTAGCTATACTTAAACTTAGTTCTATTAGGAGCTAGATATTTAACATAAATATTGAATTATTTTTATATATCATTGTAAATTTATATTTAACTACATAGCGTTTCTTCTTTCATGGTGAAATAATTCTATTATTTTATTTTATGCTTTAAATGTGTAATTTTTCCAAAGAATGAGCAGAGCTGAGAGAAGCAGTCTTCTGGCTCTGCAGATCTGTGTTTCCAAGAATCTTATTTAATTAGAAGAATTTTGCTGCAATTGTCCTTTCTCGGGCATTGCGAAGGCTGCAAAATACTTTTAACTCTTCCCACCAATCAGAAAACAAATCTGATTACCATGCAAAATAAAAATAAGTTTAATTCAAGTCTATTCAATTCCACAGGTAATTTTTGGCTTATTTGAATCAATTTTTTCAGTTTGCAACTCAAAAATGAGATTGCAGACAAAATGCTTGCTTAAAAATACCCTGCATGTGATTAGGAGCACCTAATAATCGGTAGGCAACAAAACCTTGTTTTATATTTAATTATGTGTACCTCATCTAAATGTCTGATAAAATTTGTACAGACATGTTAGCCACATATATTGGTGTTAACAGGACAAATAGCATGTCTTTGAATAACAGCTGCTGAGATTTTTATAAAAGGTTTTCTATCTGTAAAAGCATGCTAATGATAGACAAGACGACAGGAACTAGGGGTAGGGGGGATCTTCTAAAGCAGGGATCCCCAACTCCCAGGCCAAAAACCCCATACAGGTCCATGGCCTGTTAGTAACTGGGCTACACAGCAGGAAGTGAGTGGCAGGCTAGCAAGAGGAGCTTCATCTGTATTTACAGCCATTCCCCATGGCTCACATTACCACCTGAGCTCCACCTCCTGTCAGATCAGCAGTAGCATTAGATTCTCAGAGGCGCATGAAACCTATTATGAACTGCACATACGAGGGATCTAGACTGCAACCTCCTTATAAGAATCTAATGCCCGATGATATGTCACTGTCTCACAGCCTCCCAGATGGGACTGTCTAGTTGCAGGAAAACAAGCTCAGGGCTCCCAATTCTAATTATGATGAGTTATATAATTATTTCATCATATATTTCAATGGAATAATAAAAGAAATAAAGTGCACAATAAATGTAATGCACGCTAATCATCCTGAAATCATCTCCCCAACTCCTGGTACATGGAAAAATTATCTTCCATGAAACCGGTCCCTGGTGCCAAAAAGTTTGGGGACTGCTGCTCTAAAGGATCTGGTACATAGATTCCATGAAAGAATTTGAGAAGCCAAGGTCTGGTGCTTCTGGTGAGAGTCATAGAAAAAGTGGTCACTTAGCCTCTTCAGGGTTAGTTTCAAAGTGGATGATTAATGTCTTAGCAAATGTATAGAGATTATCTGGTTCAGCATATTCTGATGATTTATTCTAAATTATATTATGGAGTCATCTAAGGTTTTATTTTGCATAGCAATGTAGGGCAAGAAATTTAGATAGCTTTACCTGCTCTGATAAGTTTCTGGGTTAAAATGATATGAAAATAAATATACATGGTAGAACTGATGAGAACATCGTTGTGAAGCCCTAGAGCAAGTATTGACGTAAGAAGGAAATAGACTAGGATTTAAAATCTTTACATTCCCCTTACTACTTGTAAGGCATATTACGTAGACTGACACTCATCACTTCTCTTGGGCTATTAGAGTTCAATAAAGACTAGAGGCTTTATATGTAAAATTCTTAGTACAATGCCTTGCACATAGTAGCAATGAAGGAGTAGAGTTTAGTACATCTTTCATTGGCTAACTCGCACTGACCTAATTTGAGGTGGGAATTCTGAACTTACAGGGCACCACTAAAAATTCTTCTTGATCCATATTTGCAGATCATCAATGGAATGTAAATGTACAGTATCAAAGAACTATTTTTTGTTAATATAATTGCTTTCTTCATTAAACTAATGTATGTTCATTACTGGTCTAGATGTTTAAACCTAATTACACCATAGCTTTATTGTCTCTGCATTTTAACCTAATTCCTTTCTTTGTCTCCTTTCCAAACAGGTACTATAAAAACAAAATCACATAATTCACTTTAAGTCATTAAAAATAGATTAAAGAATACCTTTCTACAAACTTATCTTTGACATTTGAAGTTGTTATTAAACATCATTTTATAAAACTTTGAACCCAAAGTCACAAACGAAAATTACTTGTAAAGAAATAAATGAATTCAATTATTTTTGTATGAGCTTTAAAATGCTGGTGGTTTTTAAACATGAGGATTTTCTATTTCACTTGGCGGTTAAAGAACAAAAGGCAAATAAACATTTATAATTATGATAAAAATGGGAGATTTTTATCTTTTATTAGAATAATAGTATTTTAGAAATCTACTTTGAGGCAAAAGATGAAATGACACATATTTGAACTAACGCCAAATAACACTCAATTTACTATTTGACAGTTTCTCATTTCTTAAACTGTGCCAGACCTTGTGCCATATTCTTTACATATATTACTCCAACTAGTTTATCACTGCACTTACATGGAATACCTCGTCTGAATATTTCTATTTTACAGCTGTGGAGTTCACACTTGTAAAATTCTGATTTTAGATTTGAATCAATTCATTCTTTTTTATTTTGATAAAATATACATAAAATAAAATTCATCTTAAACATGTTTAAAGTTTACAATTTAGTGGTAATAAGCATATTCACATTGTTGTGTGACCATCAACACGATCCACCTCTAGGACTTTTTCATGATCTCAAACCCAAACGCTGTACCCATTAAACAACAGATCTCCATTCTTCTCACCTCTAGTGGCTACTGCCCCTAGCAACCACTATTCTACTTTTCATCTCTTAGTATTTGACTGTTCTGAGTACCTCATATAAATGAAATTATACAACGTTCATCCGTTTGTGTCTAGTTAATTTCACTAAGCATAATGTTTTCAAGGTTCAGTCACACTGTAACATACATCACAATTTGATTCCTTTTTTAAGGCTGAAAAATATTATATTGTATGTATTAGATTTTGTTTATCCGTTCATCCATTAAAGGACATTTGTGTCGTTGTTTCCAACTTATGGCTATTGTGATAAAGCAGCTAAGATCATTTGTGTGCAAATACCTGTTCAGTTCTTTGCTTTCAATCCTCTTGAGCACAGACCTAAAAGTGGAATTGCTGCACCAGTTGGTAATTCTATGTGTAAGTTTCGAGGTACTTCTGTACTGTCTTCCACAGCAGCTGCACCATTTTACATTCCCACCAACAGTGTAAAAACAGTTTCTGCAAATCCTTGTCAACACTTGACCTTTTCTTTTCTATTTTTAAAATAATAGCTATTCTCATGTGTGCCAGGTGGTATCTTGTGGTTTTGATTTGCATTTCCCTAATGATTAGTGATGAACATCATTTCAGGACCTAATTGATTATTTTTATATCTTCTTTGAAAAAATGTCTGTTCATCCTTTGCCTATTTTCTAATTGGGTTGGTTGGTTGCTTGTTGTAGAGCTGTGGGAATTCTTTATATTCTGGATATTAATCTATCAGATGTATAATTTGCAATTTTTTTCTTCAATTTGGGAATTATCTTCTAACTCTCTTGTTGGTGTCTTTTGATGCACAAAGTTTTTAATTTTGATGAAGTTCCATTTACCTATTTTTTTCTTTTCTTGCCTGTGTTTTTAATGTCATATCCAAGAAATCATTGCCAACACCAATGTCATGAATCTCCCCCCGCCACGTTTTCTTGCAAGAGTTTTTTAGTTCTTACATTTAGCCATCTGATCCTTTGTGAATTAACTTTTTATATATGATGTAAGGGAAGAATCCAACTTCATTTTATTCTTTTTTTATGTGGACATCCAGTTCTCTGAGCACCATTCATTAAAAAGAATACCTTTTACTATTGAATGATCTTGGCATTCTTATTGAAAATCATTTGACCATATATGTGAGGGTTTATGTCTAGACTCTGCATTGGTCTAAATGTCTGTTTTTATGCCAGTACCACACTGTTTTTATCACTGTAGCTTTGCAGTAAGTTTTGAAATTGGGAAGTGTGAGTCCTCCAATTTTGTTCTATTTCAAGACTCCTTTTGCTATTCAAAATCCCTTGAGATTCCACATAAACTTTTGGATTTCTTTTTCTATTCCTTCAAAAGATATTGTTGATGTTTTAATAGGGATTGCATGAAATCTGTAGATCTCTGTGCAAAGTACTGGCACTTCAGCATTAAATCTTTTGATTCATTAACAAAAGATATATTGCTATTTATTGGTGTCTTCTTTAATTTCCTTTGGAAACATTTTATAGATTTTAGTGTAGGCGTCTTCTGCCTCTTGGGTTAAGTTTATTACTAAATATTTTTGATGCTATTGTAATGGAATTGTTTTCCTAATTTCCTTTTTAAATTGTTCATTCTCACTTTGTAGAAAAGCAACAAATTTTTCCACGTTGATTTTGTATCCTGCAACTGTGATGAATTAATTTATTAGTTCCAGCCAGCTTTTTTGTGGAACTTTAGGATTTTCTATACATAAGATAATGTCATCTGTGAAGAGAGGTAATTTTACTTCTTACTTTACAATGTAGTGCCTTTCATTTTTCTTCTTGCCTAATTACTCTTGCTAGAATTTCCAGTGCTTTGTGGAATAGAAGTGAAAGGAACATCCTTGTCTTATTCTTGATCTTAGGTGAAAACTTTTAGTCTTTCACCATTGATTATGATGTTAGCTCTGTGAATTTTTTAAATATATGGCCTGTAATATGCTGAAAATGTTTCTGAGTTCATTCCTTCTTACCTTAGACTCTCCAATATTAATTATACTTCTAAGTTGCTTCCTGGTTGTTTGTAAACTTATTTTTAAAATCAAATTATATTAATAGAAATTATATATTGAGTGCTAAGAAACTCCTGGTCACTATGTTACCTGTTGGTAAGTCAGAGATTGCTGAAATATATTTCTTTTTCTTAGGTGCTTAAGCAAGCAGTGGGAAAGAAGTTAAATGGAGTTTTAATAGAAGTATGCACAGATTGCTATGGAGCAGAGAGGAAGACATAATTAACTTTGCCTAGACAGAAGAGGCTGTACATCCCAAAAGTGAGCATTGAAGGATAAATAAGAATTTGTATAGTAAAGAATACGCCTGGCATTCAGGAGATAGAAGTTGTTTCCAAAGCATTCTCGGAAGAAAAATTTCATGCACATAGGGTTGGAAATATAATGTCACATTCAAGGAATTTCACATAGAAATGCATAAACTGTGCTGTGAATTTGGAATAGGAATAATAGAGGAGGATTGAGAGATGGTAGAAACATGCAGGAAAAAAACTACGAAGGGCACTGTAAACCTTTGCTAAACCATCTCAAATCAGGACTTGACGATAGGCAAAAATGTATCAAACTAAATTTGTAAATGACAGCTTTCTTGAAAATTTAGACAAAAATTCTTTTTATGTAAAAAGCATATATTAAATATGTGATGAAAAGTGAGTCTCACGTTTTTCTTTTAGCAATATGTTTCTTTAAAACAATATGGGAAGAAATTTGGTGTTTGCTATGGGCAAAGGTTTTCTACATCCTTGGACCTTCAGGAGCACCTGCTCTTTGGTTTGGGGAGAACCAGAGAGAAAGCCACTGCAGGAATTAAGCAAGACAAGGGCGTGATCACGTCTGAATTATCAAAGGAATTACACTTTAGTTACACGACTCATCTTTCAACATCTCATTACACTCCCTAAAACAATTCCCAAAACACACACTTTCAGTATTATCTGGGTCTAAATACATCTGTAGTGTTTCTGGTAATGTTCTAAGACAGATTGAGGAAAAGAGTTTTTATGATTCTATTTGTTTTTCAACAGTTATGTAAATCCTTATACATATGCTCCCCATTGAATATTTACTGTTTCTTCATTATAATTTAGACAAATGTTATATAGGAAGAAAGTATTGAAAAGAAAGCACAAAACATTCAAGAGGCATTATGGCGTGTGTCATGTTAGAAGAGTTTACCACAGGGTCTTAGCTGGGCTTTTATCCTAACTAGCTGTGTGATCTTGAGAAGTTACTACTTCTGAATCTCACACCTCATATGTAAAATTAATATTTTATTTAAAAGGAAATTCAATCTCCAAACTCCCTTCTAATTTTACATTTCCATGGCTGTAAAATTTCATTAACAAATATACAACAATCTTTTTAATGAGACTATTTTTCTCTTAATTCATTTCATTTAAGGTGGTCACTATGCCAGGTGGCTGCTGTTGTCTAATAGGAGAGTCAGTAACTTCCCACAAGCACCATGGTCCTCAGATGTGGATCATTTACAGTGCTCAGAAAAGTCCTGTAAATAGCCCACGCCCAGATCAGGACTGCCTCATGTTAAACTTATCAACTTCATTACAATGTCACTCTCATGCTTGCCTACTAAGAAGGAAGAATGACACAGGAGTGGATTTCTTTTCTGAATCACAGAAAAAAACTGTAAATCCATCAGATTTCCCAAGCAGGCAGGGTGCTTTATTAGGTGATAAGAAGGAAAAAGAACCTTCTTTTGCCAACTTTGGCTTGTAAGTTTTCCCATTATCCTGCAAAGTCTGTTCATTATACCACATCATGTGTGATGCTGTGGCATTTGTCTGGAGTGAGTGATTCACACCTGTTTGTTAACTAGACTCACATTTTAGGAAGCAATAGAAACTGTGATTATTTTATTAGTCTGACTTCAACAAAGAAACGGAACCAAGATTGTGTGTGTATGTGTGTATATATGTATATACACATATACATACACATATATATGCATATAAAATTATATATATAGATAGATACATGCTCCTCAACTTAAGAGCATTGTAAGTTGAAAATATTGTAAGTCAAAAATATATTTAATACACCTATCATTAGCACTGAAAAGATCAAAATTCAAAATTAGAAGTATGGTTTCGACTGACTGCATATTGCCTTCACACCATCACAAAGCTGAAAAATTACAAGTGAAACCACAGTAAGTTGGATATGTCTGTATACATTCATTTTATATATATATTATATATATATATATATATATACACATGTAATTTATTATGGGAATTGGCTCACACAACTATGGAGGCTGAGAAGACCCACCATCTGCAGTCTATAAGCTGGAGAACGAGGACAGCAGTGGTGTAATTTAGTCTAAATCAAAAATCCTGAGAACTAAGTGGGGTTGGGGATGCTGCTGTAAGTTGCAGAGTTTAAAGGACCAAGAACCAGGAGCTCCAATATGCAAAGGCAGAAGAAGATGTATGTGCCGGCTCAAAAAGAGAAAGAATTTGCCCTTTCTCTGTTTCTCCTATCCAAGTTTTGCTCTCTTCAACAGATTGCATAATGCCCATCCAAGTAGGTGAGAGTGAATCTTCTTTACTCAATCTACTGATTCAATGGTCATCTTTTCCAGAAACGCCCTCACAGAGACACCCAGGAATAATGTTTTACCATCTATCTGGGCATCCCTTAGCCCAGTCAAGTTGACACATAACATTAATCATTACAGTAATAAATCAATACTTAAAATCTAAAATAAATTTTGTAAAAAATTAAGTATAATTTTCAAACATATAATGTGAGATTCTTTTAATATCTTGGCAAGAATTAAGCAAATCTTTTAACTTGTAATTATTTTTCATGTAAAGTTTCAACTGCCACCTATATGTCATTTTCTCTTCCATCTCTGTTTCTGGATCTTAACTCTTGTATTTACTTGCAGATGCCTGTGCCTGCTGTTAGGCTGTCAGCTCCTTGGAGGCAACACTGGGCTGGAGCAAAGCTCAATAGGGCCTTACTCTGGCCATGGAGGTGCAACCACCGAACACGTAGAGGTCTGTAGAAGTCAGTGTGAGAACTCCTAATTTTGTCTTTAATAAGAAAAGAACAGTGGGAAACAGGAATCTTTCATAATCACATAATCTTTAAGGAGGAGTAGGATTAGATCTCAGGTCTTCTCACTTCCATGTTCTGGTTTTTAAAATAACAGCTCCCTTATTGTGTTAGGAAAAACCTTCTGACAAACCCCGAATATATCATGTTCTAGACTGAGAGCATTCTGAAAGTCCTGTGAGGACAGGGTTGGTTGCCTTCTGCACTAGTTTGTCTCCAGGACCTAGTATGTTGTAAAGCACAGTTAACATTATAAATTGATATTACAAGTATTTCCGAACAACTTTAAAAGTGAGAGAAAGACATATATCAAAGCAAACAGAGGGACTGCATTATTACTATGACACATTAGCACCTTAATTTATAAAATTAAGAGCACAACGGATCAAATTTGAATAGAAATGAACGATTTAATAAATGTTCAGTAGTGAGATTGAACACAACTTTACCAAAACGTAGTTGATCATTCACAAGGAGTTTTGAGGATCTTATATGCCTGTCATTTTACTGTATGTTTGACTAACACATTTGGTTAGACTATCAACTATGTATCAATGGAATGTTTCCAGTATGATCAGAACCATATCATCTTTATTGCTGTTTTATAAAGTACAGAATATTTTTGTGAGAAAAGAACCTATTATTCTGTTCTTTTGTTTCAAAATTACATGATCCGACTATTATCAAGATGCATAAATCCTTGGCTTTGGCTTGGTAACATTATATGTATATTTCAGTTTATATAAATATAACTACTTATTTGTGCCATTAAATCAATTACAATAAATTAGTATCAGTGTTCTAAATTAGTCACCACAAACGTATTTATGTAAAATTTTTTATTCTTCCTACTTCAGAAATATGCAATAATTAACACATTTAAATTATATATTATTAACACTTTGTGTGAAAGTGCAGAAATTGTATATCGAATATTTTCTATGTTGAATCAGGATGGATGTTCCAATAGTGAACTGTATCCACCAAATGAAAGCAGAATATGTCTCTCATTACTTTTCACTGTCTGCAGGATCCACTTTGATATTTCACTTTCATCTATTATGTTAGTAATTTGAGTATTATTTTCCTTGATAAGCCTGAATGAGATTTTATAAAGTGATGTTAATTTTTTATAACATCATCGTTTTTGCTTTATGTTCGTTATAAATTGTATTAGTTTTTTAAATTAATTCCTGTTCTTATCTTTATTAATCCTTTTTTTATTGATTGGGTATACTATTTATTCTTCTAAGTTTTTGAGATTGAAGTTAGTTCATTTGATTTCAACCTTCCATTCTTACATGTTCATTTCTGGTTATAAAATTCTATCTAAATACTGCTTTTGCTGCATCTCACAAATTTTGTTATGTAACATATTTATAATTATTAAATTCAAACTATTTTCTAATTTTCCAGTGACTTTTTTGACTCAGGAATTATTTAGAAGTATATTAGTTTTTAGGCAGTGAGCATGTTCTAATTTTTTTATTGTTTTTGAATTGATTTCTGAATTCCACTATTTTCAGAGAATATACTCTTAATTGTTTCAATTCTTTGGAGACTTATGAGATTTCTTTAGGGTGGTTAATCACTTTCACCACCTATGTTCCACGGGTATCTGAAGGGATTTGTAGTTACTACATTGGTGGTTACAGTATTCCAGATTTGTCAATTAGGTCATCATTCTTATGTGCATGGACAGACTTTCTATAGCTTTTCTATCTTTATCATCTATCAAAACTTCCCCCATGATTTCCCTTTATAGTTCTGTATAATTTTTATTTATATCATTTGAAATTATATTTTTGGGGACATGA
Organism: Homo sapiens; assembly: GCF_000001405.40. Lineage (NCBI taxonomy): Eukaryota > Metazoa > Chordata > Mammalia > Primates > Hominidae > Homo > Homo sapiens. The sequence goes on from NC_000008.11 coordinate 16,352,338, forward strand.
AGATTTTAAATTATGCTATCTTCCTTGTGAACTGACCCTCATTATTAAGAAATACCTCTTTTTCTCTATAAACACTGCCTGCCTTAAAGTTTCTTTCGTCTGTTGGTTAGTATAGTGACAACTTTTCTAGTCATTAGTGTTTTGTGATATATGTTCTTCTACATTTATTTTCTAGTGTTTTCTGTCCTCATATGTAAAATGTGTCTTACAAACAGTATAAACGTCTTTTTTCCCCCCAGTCTACATTTTTACTTGATGATAGGGTATTTAGGCAGCATCAAGTCAGGACCACCTCCAACACTTCTGTCTTTTATTTGCTGTATTCCCAGGGTTTCTCCCTCGGAAGTTCTTTGTCTCCTAATCACTGCCAGACTGAGAAATTTTGCTCTGCTTTTCAGAACGATTTTATCTTAACTCATTAGTTGCTTACCCCACACAGCTTTAGAACTTAGCACAAATCTTGAGGGACATACTGTCTCTTTGCTTGAGGCCCACATTTTTGGAACTGTGCCCCTTCATGTCTTTGTGCTCACCAGAAGCTCCAGGTAGCAATCTTCTGTCTTGGATAAATCCAAATGCTGAGCCTACAACAAATGCCTGGAATTGACAGAAGCCCCAGAAGAACAGCAGCAGCAGATTCTTGTCTCATTTCTTAAAGATTCGCCCATGTTTACAATCTTGGTCTCCCATTGTCTTCTGTGATTCTCTGATGATAGCTTGTGATATATTTGTAGGTTTTCCTAGATTTTCTACCTATTGTCAATGGTAGTCTTCTGCTTGTTACAATCTAGTTTGCCTACCCAAATAAGACAGGGTATTATTTTTTAAGTGAGAGTCAAGCATATTTGCATATTAAGAAGAACAATCCTGTCGAGGAGAATGGATGTCATGGTTGGTAGAGCAGAAAATAGCTTTATCTGTATTCTTCTTTAATAAGTGAGACAGAGAATTCATCTAATGTCCAAGGGGAGCAATTAGCCCTAAATAGCAGTAGTGAGAGCTTATTTATAATAACAGAAAAATCAGAGCTATTCTTTGACCACTGCAGGTCAGATGGTGGCGGTATATGTGGTAATGGGAACTTATGAAATTTTTCTTCTGATTATTTCTGTTTCTGTCAGTAAACAGGAAGTAAGGTTATAAGTTGAGAATGATGAATTGAAAGGAGTGAAGGTATGAAGATGTGGAATAACCCTTTAAATGAGTGACAGAGAAGTGTATTTGTAAGACTCTTAGCTCACTTGGTATAATTAATCATGCATTTAAAGTCAATTCAATCACCATGCGTATGTGTTTATTTCTAACCAAGTTCAGTGACTTCGAGCAGGAACAGAGTAAATGGAGAAATACATTTAATTAGAGTTAGTATTTCACTAGGAGAATATGATGGAAGCAGAAATGAGCAAAAGAGTGAATATGGGAGTTATTAAATGATTATTTGTGCAATTTAAAGTAGCAGAGATGAAATTAGGGATATGAAGCAATGAGAGACAGTGATAAGAAGATAGTATGAATGGAAATTACATCTAGCAGTGTAAAAAATTCCAGGAGTCAGTGAACGAGGGGAATTGAACTGAGAAGTAAGATGTAATAGTTGGAGATTGAAATCCTTGAAATTTTTATTATAGAGAAGGTGAATTTCTGTGTAATGACAAGTTTTAGAGTGTGATAGGGCTGGGTAATTGAAGTCAATGACTGGATATGAGGAGAGGAGACCAAATTATTAAGAAGTCAAATTATTAGAAGAGTCATCAACAAATAAAAGTGTCACGAGAGAGAGAGTAGCCCTGGTGCTGAAATCTTAAGGAGTGATAGAAATGGGAGAAGATTTTGACGATAGGGTTAGTGGATTGTACAATTTGAAGGAATTAACTTAGGAAATGATGATGTTAGACAAATATTTTTTAATGTCTCTCATTGAAATATCACGATTTCCTCCATAAAGATCTTTCACATTCATTAATTCATTCGGTAATTATTTACTAGGAGCCTAAGCCCCGTTCCGGACATTAGAAATCTAGCCACTTAACTTTGTCACCGCCTTACTAAAATATTGCTCTCATATTTAAATAATCTGGAGGAATTTTTTAAAATGTTAAGCAAAACACCACATTCTTCAGCTCAAACTCATCCAGTATTGACTCATTACATGCAAAAGAAAATAAAATTATTTTACCATGTCCTAGAAAATCTCTCTTGTTGGGAAAGGCAGTCATATGCATGCAGTCTTTTGATGATGCTGGGCTGCACAAGAATGGTCCTGGAGATGGAGACATTTTCTTACCAAGACAGAAAGAGCAGTCACAGTCTGTGTTGGCCTTACGGCCATGTACGGGAATGTCTTACTTTCTACCGATCTCAATATGTGTTCCTTTGCTCTACTTAAGCGTATGTGTCATATAGCACCTCGCCAACCCCACTAGTACGTGTGTACTATGAAGTCCTTCTCCTGCAACACAAGAGGAAAGGTAGGCTGTAGAAGGAGCTTGTTCTGGCCATGGGGGACCCACAGCCACAATGGAAGCTGATCTGGCCCTGCCTCTGTATGTGAGCAAAGCATTGCTCCACACCATGCCTGCAGGTTGTGTCTTCCTTGGATACTCTGAACCATGGAGTGAGTTGGATGTCCTGGGACTGCTGTTCCTGCTGGCAGCATTATGCTATTTGCTATTCTCCATGAAATGGACTCCCCTGCTATCACCAACAGAGGTGGAAAAAGGTGTGTCACTTGCCGCACAGTTACACACACAAGATCTGGCTCCTGTCTTCCTCTCCAACGGTTTTCTTATACCAATCATCTCCTTCCACACTTCCAAACTGTTTTGAATGGCCAAGCTTCTATCCTTCAGTGAGACATTATATTAGTTGTTCGTTCTGCCTGGAATTCACTCTCACCAGATCTGTATAAGGCTGCTAAACACTTGGGTTATTCACATGCCATCTTTCCAAGGAGGTCCCCTCCAAAACACTCAATTAAAAATAGTCATCAGTCATCATTCTTGGTCCTAAACTTGGCTCCATTTTCTTGATAACACTAATGGTCTATGAAATTCAACATTTAAAATTGTATAAAATTATATTTATCACTTGTATATTGTGTGTCTCACACACATATGAATTTTTTCAGGAGAGCAGACCCTTATTTTGTTAACCACTTAATCTTTAATTACTAGAATAGTTCACAGAACACAGGAGGTGTGTAGAAACACTGTGAAAGGAAAGGGGAAGAAGGAAGTAAGAAGGGGGCAGGAGATGAAGAAATTTTGAGAATGTCTGCTTACTGCCTTTGAACTCGAATACAAAATGCACTTTATTTAGACTGTGCAGGTCCACTTATATATGGATTTTCTTCAACTTCTTCCCCCTCCTCCTCAGTCTGCTCAGTGTGAAGATGATGAGGATGAAGACATTTAAAAAGATCTATTTGCACTTAAATATATTTTATTTTCCTTATTAATATCATTATTTTTTCTCTAGCTTACTTTATTGTAAGAATGCAGTATACAATACATGTAACATGCAAAATATGTGTGTTGATGTTCTCAGTAAGTCTTCTAGTCAACTTTTAGTAGTTAAGTGTCTGGGGAGTCAAAAGTTGCAGTGGATTTTTTACTGAGGAGGGGACTGACACCCCCAATTCCCATGTTGTTCAAGGGTCACCTGTTCTGCTTAACAGATTTAGGTAATAATTTCTTTCCCTCAGAATGTCTAGATACTACTTGATTATTCATAACTCTGAAAGATACTATGAAAAAATCATGTAAACTTGACTTTTTTCCTTTTGTATATGACTTGTTTTATTTCTGCGTGGTTACTTGAAGGATTCTTTCTTTATCCCTGCATGTTACTAATAATCCAGATGTATCTCAATATAAAATTGTATTATGGTGTCCTATATATATGTTGTTCCTCCAATTTATTTTTCATTCTGCAGATAAAGTTATTTAAATAGTGTTTTGTCTCTAATATATATGACAATAATTTTTGTTCCATTTGTTAGATTCCCTAGTTTAGAAATAAGTATTTGCTTTTTACGGCAGATATATTCTTTCTGCTGTTCTTATCTAACAGCTTCTCTGTAATTATGTTAATTATGCATCTATTGCCTCTCTCTATCCCAGGCATTTTTATCATGCTTATATTCACTTTTCAGCTGTGCTCAAAACCCTTCCATTCTGACTGGTTCTAAGTTACTTACTTGATATTCAATTATGTGAATTGTGGTCTCAGGGTTTCTTATCTCAGAAATTTCTTTTTCCATATTAAACTCTGATTTTATCAGTTTACTTCCTCACCTCTTAGATGTGAATTTGTATTTTTTAAATTTGTAATGTTTGTGGGTACCTAATAGATATACATATTTATGGGGTACATGAAATGTTTTGATACAGGCATGCAATGGGTAATAATCACATCATGGAGAAAGAGGTATCTATCCCCTGAAGCTTTTATTCTTGTGTTAAAAATGATCCTATTATACTCTTTTAGTTATTTTAAAATGTACAATTAATTATCTATTGACTATAGCCATCCTGTTGTGCTATCAAATAGTAGGTCTTACTCATTTTTCTATTTTTCTATTTTTGTTGCACCCACTAGCCATCTCTAACTTCCTTCCACTCCCCCACTACTCTTCCCAGCCTCTGGTAACCATCCTTCTACTCTCTATGTCCATAAGTTCAATTGTTTTGATTTTTAGATCACACAAATAAATGAGAACATGCAATGTTTGCCTTTCTATAGCTGGCTTAACTCATTTAACATAACGATCTTTAGTTCCATCCACGTTGTTGCAAATGACAGGATCTCATTCTTTTTATGGCTGAATAGTACTCCATTGTGTATATGTACCAAATTTTCTTTATTCATTCATCTGTTGATGAACCTGTAGGTTGCTTCCAAATCTTGGCTATTGCTAATAGTGCTGCAACAAACATGGGAGTTTTTGATATCCTTGTGATAAACTGATTTCCTTTCTTTTCAGTATACGCCTAGCAGTGGGATTGCTAGACCATATGATAGCTCTACTTTTAGTTTACTGAGGCACCTCCAAACTGTTCTCCAAAGTGGCTGTACTAATTTGCATTCCAACCAACAGTGTACAAGGGTTCCCTTTTTTTCAACATGCTTGCCAGCATTTGTTATTGCTTATCTTTTGGATAAAAGCCATTTTAACGGGGGAGAGTTTGTACTTTTATTAATGCCTTCTCCAATGATATATCCTTGCAGGGAATGAGATGCCTTTGTTAGAAGAGTTTTGTTCTTCTGGACAGGGGTATGACATGTTTTGTGCACTCTCCTCTCCTCCATCATTTTTTGGTACTATGTATTGCTACTGTTTGTTATTATCCTATTCAAGGTAGCAGCTCTAACAGGTTGTTTGTCTATTATTTCTTTCTGGAACTTCTTTAAAACATATCGTGGGGTGCGTGTGTACGTGTGTGTGTGTACGTGTGTGTGTGTACATTTAATACCGCTGAACTTTTTTCTTCACACTTGCTCCCTCTTTATCTCCCATTGTTCTGTCTTCAGGAACATCTCCTACCTAGTTTGTTTTGTCTTGATTTAGTACTAGCTCACTTATTTAGCCCACCTTAATACGTAATTTAATTTCAAAAACTTAGGTTTTATATTTCTAAATTTTCTGCGTTTTACCACTAATTTCTGCACTTCGCTGAACTAAAATGTGTTCTTGTTAGATAATAGATCTGATTCGCCCCCTGCCTCTACTGGGGTATTAAATATACTTGCTTTACTGTCCACTATTATCTCTATTTCTTCCATGAGGGTTTCTCCCATTTGCAGAGTCTGTTGGCTCTCATGATATTGGCCTTTGTCAGACGTTTTGTGATTCCTGCTTGTACATCCATGGGGATGTTCTCCCACATGTCTTTTCGGTTATGATGGCCACTTGGCTGGTTCCCTATCACAGGCCCTCCATGCTTGAGGTGAGCCCTGTTGCAGCAATCTCTGGTTAGAGCATTGCCTCATCACCTGCTTTCCTTTCTAAGACAAATCATTCTTTAATTTAGTTTTATTGTCATAGGTTATATTTTTACTCATCTTTAATGTTTACATTTCACTTACTTTCTCTTTTTTGCTCCAACTTGGGGTCATATTTTTGAGGTAGACTTCAATGTTTTGAATAATTTGCTTTTATTGTATTAAGTACTTTTGGCATGTTTACGAAAACATACACAAAGCAAGGGAGGATATCTATTTATTCATTTTCTTATTATTTCTTATCTAACGACTTCCCTGTACATGTTCATAGATTCTAGAGACTTGATGACTATTTTTTAAATGACAATATTTGGTTGAAATATCAATTTTTAACATTTGTATTCAACTATTGTAAGTATACTAACAATAGCATAGCTATCTATATTGTTGCTTATTTGATTTGGGTGCTTAGAGCCAGGTATTCTATGGTATAAGTTTTGTTTTCTTAGATTCTTAATTTTGTTCAACATCTCAGTTTGCTGGTCATCAAATTTAAGTACTTTAAAAAAAGAACATGCGTATTTTTAAGTTCCTATATAAACAAAAATGTTTTCCTACTGTCTTTATCAAGAAAGATGTCATTTTTTCTTTTAAAACTTTTCATATAGTTCTCCATTGTCTTGACAGTTAGAGCTGTTGAGAAGTGTGCAGTCAGCTTAATTTTTGTCTCTTTTGTAGATTAATTACTTTTTCTTTCCTGCCCGGAAACTTACAGATTTTGTCCTAACCCTTCTTCCTGGGCTTTCTTTGCCTGAGGCAAGTTTTACAATTTTTAATGTTTGACTATTATTTCTGTCACATTTTCTATGTATTCTTCACAATTCTATTGTATCTCATTTTTCTGTCACTATTACTCAAAAATAATTTCATCATATTACTTTCATTTATTTGTTCACAATGTTGCATTCTTGGAAAATTTGTCAAAAATATTACTCAAATTATCAACTTAGTTGTCCAGGACACTAATTAAGCTGATTTTTTGATATAAAGCAGACTAAAAAATAGAATTAGAATTTTTAACACAAATAGACTAGAAGTTTATACTTACAAAGTTCAAATGATCTGCTCAAATAAAAGAATGGTGAAATATAATGATTATTGAAAAACTTCCATACTAAGATTTATAAAAAAAAAACTGAAAAGTAAATTGTGGAATAAATGTGTGTCTGTTTATTTGAATATCAATTCAGAAAGATGCTGTGTCATTTTTAAAATTAAGCAAGATAAAATAATTTATAGAAGAGTGAAGAGTATATTGAACCCATACAGTAATGCTGTAAGTATGGTATTTACAAGTCCATTCCATCTTAGCATACATTGTTCAGTATCGTCCTGCACATTCCATGGTTGAAATTGCAAACTTGAAACAAGTTCCAGCATTATACTGAATGGGCAAAAGCTGGGGGCATTCCCTTTGAAAACCTGCACAAGACAAGGATGCCCTCTCTCAACACTCCTCAGGGAGGAAATGACCTGGCCTTTTGGAACTTCAGCTTCCTCATCTGTGTCCTATTCAACATAGTACTAGAAGTCCTAGCCAGAGCAATTGGGCAAGAGAATGAAATAAAAGCCATCCAAATAGGAAGAAAGGAAGTTACAATGTCTCTTCAGATAACATGATTCTGTATCTAGAAAACCCCATGATCTCAGCCCAAAAGCTTCTTTAGCTGATAAACAACTTCAGCAAAGTCTCAGGATACAAAATCAATGACATGGAATCAACCTAAATGCCCATCAAAGATACATTGGATAAATAAAATATGATATCTATACATCATGGAATACTACGTGGCCATAAAAAAGAATCCAAGATTATGTCTTTTGTGGGAACATGAATGGAGCTGGAGGCTATTACTCTTAGAAAACTGGTGCAAGAACAGAAAACCAAATACCACGTGTTCTCACTTATAAGTGGGAGCTAAATGATGAGAACTTAGGAACACAAAGAGAGAAACAACAGTGAGGTCTACTTGAGACTAAAGAGAGGGAGGAGGGAGAGGAGCAGAAAAGATAACTATTGGGTAATTGGCTTAATACCTGGGTGATGAAATAGCCTGTACAACGAATGTCATGACACAAGCTTACTTATGTAACAAACCTTCACATGTACCCTTGAACCTAAACTAAAAATGTTTAAAAAAGAAGTTCACAGGAAAAATACAGGGTGTATAACAAAAATAAAAGGAAAGGAAGAAAGGAAACACATAATACAGATGACTAAATAAAATTATTTTTGTAAAAATTTCAGAACACTAAAGTTATAAAAAGTATTAAAAGTTGAGTCAATTAACTTACTCGTCAACATGAGAGAGGGAAGGAGGGTCTACATCATCACATGAACTTCTAATTTAAGCTCCTGGAGTTCAATTATGCTTAAATTGGTTGGGCTCATGAAGGCTGAAAATTAAAAGACTGTGATACAGTAGAGAACATCATTAAGAGCAGTGTAAAGTTAAGAGCATATATATGGACTGAAACAATCTTAGGAATGACTTTGAATTTAAGATGAAAAAGTTTTACTCAATTTTTTATGCACTGAAGTGCACAGAGTTTTTGGAGGAGGGATGTGATTCAAATACAGCTGCATATTTACAAAATTAAACTGACCATTTCTGATTTTGAGAAGGAGAGATAGGGAAACCAGATAGAAATCCATTTTAATAACCCAAACAGGCATTTGCACTAACTAGATCGGAATGCAAAATCTTGTAATATTTCAGGAGATGTTATAAAGTTAATTTAGCTGAACTTCAAAATAGAAGAGGATCAATACCAAGCAGACACTATGTATTAGTTAGCAGTACATAGTTATGAGTGACCAGATTTTCTCTTGTGTGCTTTAAGACAAATGTGACAGGGAAAATAGTAGGTGGCAACAGGGTTAAATTTTTGCACTCTCTTTGAAACTTTTATATCTAGGCTGTTGATTCTTAAGTTCAAAGATATTTATTTTTCCTAAAAATTATTTCCCTTATTATCGGAAAGCAAGGGTATTCTTCCAGCCTCTTGTTTTAGCACAACTCAGAATGATCTGCCAACTGAATGTTCACTACTTATTTAATTTTTAAAGGGCATTACGCACATTCAAGGTGGAAATCTTATAAAACAGATTTGGACTTTGTGACCCAAGATATGGTTTGCTTTAAGGAGGGTTCGGAAACAGTGTTAAGAATGTGGGAAGAACACTTGTAGCAAAGACAAAAGCAAATTTTTTTTTTTTTTTTTTTTTTTTTTTTTTTTGAGATGGAGTCTTACTCTGTCACCCAGACTGGAGTGCAGTGGCGCAATCTTGGCCCACTGGAAGTTCTGCCTCCTGGGTTCATGCCATTCTCCTGCCTCAGCTTCCCAAGTAGCTGGGACTACAGCACCTCCCCCCACAACAATGCCCGGCTAATTTTTTGTATTTTTAGTAGAGATGGGGTTTCATCGTGTTAGCCAGGATGGTCCAATCTCCTGACCTCATGATCCGCCCACCCCAGCCTCCCAAAGTGCTGGGATTACAGGCATGAGCCACCGTGCCCGGCTGCAAAATGCCTTTTAATGTCATGATGATATGCTCAGGCTTCCACATTCTGTCCTAAGTAGCATTTCCACAGGACTACATGCATGTTCCCACTCTCTCTCTCTCACTCTCTCTCTCTCTCTCTCTCACACACACACACACATATTTCTTCACATTCTAAAAAGCATATTAGATGAGGATGATGGCATCATTTACAGGATTTAGTCGTTTTTAGTAGAAATAACCCCATATTCACATTCTCTAATTCAGTGAACACTAGTCACCATGGAGGTGAAGCAATGTTCAGTTATGTGGTGTTCCAAGAAGATTAATAAGGGAAGTAAAAACAAAAATAGAAACCAGATTCTTTTGCTATTATGCAATAAATACAACTGTAAATTCTTTTTCATAGCTTGTATGAATTCATATTAATAGTGTATAGCCAGCAAAAATATGGTTGAAAACACTTCTCAAAATTATCCTATGAATCTTTCCTTGTGGGCACACTGTGATGTGTTACTCAGATGCCCCGGCAAATAAGAACTCACTGCTGCAGTTATTGAGAAGACTCTGAGCAGATGTCTGTCAGCCATTAGCTCCTTCAAGGATTGCCTTAGCTAAGGAAGGTTATCTCCCCAAGCCTGTGCCTCTTCTCAGGGTCCCTCACGTCGAATGACTGAGCTTTGAGAGATTATAATGGCCTAAAGATTTTGTCCCAACTAAAGACAACTCTGACGGGTCATTCTACCTCCAGAACTTTCCATGGGATTAACCAAGACCATCTTGGGTCTACATCACAGTTAAGTAGCTTTCTCTGCCCAATCCTGCTGTCTCTCCCATCTTCCTGGAATGCTGATCCCAAGGGAACTCCCCAATAAACATACTGCATAGTAAATGCCATTAAAGAGTGAGTTTCCCAGGATCCCAAATTGTGGCATTATCTTTCATTAGAGGACTCGGGGGGCGGAGGCAGGAGAATCGCTTGAACCCGAGTGGCAGAGGTTACAGTGAGCCAAGATTGCGCCACTGCACTCCAGCCTGGGCAACAGAGTGAGACTCAGTCTCAAAAAAAAAAAAAAAAATTAGAAGATGTTAATCAAAACAGATCTTCCTCATTTATGTCTTAATAAAAGTTGCGTGCAAGGTTCACTGCAATATAAAAGTTAAGTTTCTCTTTTGAAATACCCAATAAGGAAGTGCTAAAACTTAGAAAATGCAATCGTTTGCTAGTACTGACAGAGTAACAATGGAACAGCTGCTAATCCAGGGCTATGCTTCTCTGGCAAGGAGAGGACAAAGGTAATTTTTCCACAAACAGCATTTGATAGATCAAATGTGCTTTTTTGCTTTCTTGGAATCTCCAATCATCCAGGAACACAGGTGGGATAAGGCAGTAGACACCCAAAATGTAAGAAAAACATTGGTTTATGAACGTATTTAAAAACCACATAAGGTGAACAACAGCAATTTATGTTCAGCAAAATTCTTAGGCAAAAGTAATTTATGTACCTTCCTTTAAACAGGGACTTACATAAAGCAACTATTAGAATTTGATTCTAATAAATCATTATTATATGATTCTGTCACATTTTGCCTCAAACCATGCCTATGAAGCAAAGTCGGGTCTAATAAATCTTTTTGCTATTATCAGACAAAATTCCAATATTTCACAAAAAGCAGAAATGCCATTTCAACGGAATTTGATAATACTATGTGTCATAAAAAGATAAAACGTATAGGCTTTTAAGGGGAAATCCTGAATTTTTTCCAAATTAAAGTAAAAATCCTTATATCCCATTATGTGCTAAATTGTGTCCTCCCCTAAAAAAGATATATTGCCTATATTCTAACCCACAGTCCCTCACAATGTGAACTTATAGGGAGATAGAGTCTTCACAGAGACAATCAAGTTAAATGAAGTCATTATGGTGGGTCATAATCCAATATGACAGGTGTCCTTACAAAGAGGGGCACAGGGACAGACACGCACGGAGGGAACACAGTGTGAAAGACATAGGAGGAAGACCATTGCTAGCTGGAGTGATGCTGCCACAAGCCAAGGAACACCTGGGGCTGACAGCAGCTGAAAAATGCAAGAAAAGATCCATGCCCTACAGGTCCCAGAGAGAGGAGAGCCTGCCAACACCTTCATTTCAGATTTTTAGCATCCAGAACAGTTGTTCTAAGCCACTCTGTGTTTCTCTGTTATGGCACCCCCAGGAAACTAATATGTAACCCCAAACTTTTAAAAATTGATTTTGGTATTTTCTTATTTTTTAAGATTCTCTTGACCCTTCAGTTATGTGATTTGACACCATATTACACACATACACACACACACACACACACATTTATGTCTACTTGTGAGAATCCATTTGTATGGTATTGGTTTCAAAAGCCATACTTGCCATATCATTACTATTTTATAATATTCTACATTTTTATTCTTAAAAAATGCACATTATGTTAAGCGGAAGCACTGAACTTTATATAAGAACATGCGCTTGAAGGAAGTTTGGTACAACATCACTTTGAGTAACTGCAAATTTCAGCCTGGGTTTAGGAAGCTAAATTTGAATAAAGAAACTGATCATTTGTACCAGTTCTAAACAACAATGACTTGTCAGTTAATACAATTTGGTAACTCAAGCATAATATTAATAAAATGCATTTATTTCACCCAAACTCTGTCTTCTTTTTAGCTACACTCATATCATAAGTTTCTAACTGGGCAAGTTAATGGCCCCAATTATTAGGTTAAGCAATTTTGGAGGAAGAAATCAGAGTGATGCTTTTATTTTTAAAAAGAATTAAGAAATTTTTAAAAGGCATTCTCAGTTTGTAGTAATAATGACTAAGTTTTAAAATACATTCCTCAAGCATAGTTTAGGTCCTCAGTAAAATATTGGATGTTACACAGTGTTAGTTATTTCAAGATGATCTCATATCCTCCTGCAGACATCACATTCTGCCTGTGTCATCACATCATAATCTAAAGGAAAATGATGATTCCCTCAATGGTCATAATATCAAGCTAGGAAATAAGAAGAATAGGAAGTTATCAGTGAAGAGATACTGAGATATATGTAAACATATCTCTAGTAATAATCCTCTCTGGCTGGGAAGGCTGAAAGTCCATTAGGAACAGTTATACCTCGTACAAAATGCTATCATTGGAATTCCTAGCCAAAGCAATGAAACTAGAGAAAATAAATAAAAAGCATCCAAATTAGAAATGAAGAAATAAAACTATCTCTCTTTGATTATATAATTATATAACTAGAAACTCCTCAAGACTTCTCCAAAAGACTTCTAGATTTAATACATTAATTCAATGAAGTCTCAGGTTACAAAATCAATGTACACAAATCAGTAGCACTGCTATACAGCAACAATGACCAAGCTGAGAATCAAATTAAGAACTCAATCCCTTTTATGATAGCTGCAAAACATAAAATAAAATACCTAGGAATATACTTAACCAACAGATGAACAATCTCTACAAGAAGAACTACAAAGCACTGCTGAAAGAAATCACCGATGACACAATCAAATGGAAATATATCCCAAGCTTATGGGTTGAAGAATCAGTATTATGAAAATGACCATACTGCCTCAAAGCAATCTACAGATTCAACACAATTCCTATCAAAATACCAACAACATTTTTGAAAGAATTAGAAAAAACAATCCTAAATTTCATATAGAACCAAATAAAGAGCCTCAATAGCCAAAATAATCCTAAGCAAACAGAAAAAATCTGGAGGTATCACATTATCCAACTTCAAAATATACTATAAGGCTATAATAACCACAAAAGCATGGCACTAGTATAAAAGTAGATACATAGACCAATGAAACAGAATAGAGAACCCTGAAATAAAACTGAATACCACTAACTGATCTTCAACAAAACATACAAAAACATAAATTGCAGAAAGGACACCCTGTTCGATAAATGGTGCTGGGAAAACTGGATAGCCACATGTGGAAGAATGAAGCTGGATCCCTATCTCTCACCATATAAAAACCAACCCAAGACTAATTAAATTTATCTTAAATTTAAGACCTGAAATCATAAAAATCCTAGAAGAAAACCTAGAAAGAGCTCTTCTGGACAATGTCCTACACAAAGAATTTATGACTGAGACCCCAAAAGAAAAACACAAGCAAATATAAATAAATGGGACCTAATTAAAGTAAAAGGCTTCTGCACAGCAAAAGAAATAATAATCAGAGTAAATAGATAACCCACAGAATGGAAGAAAATATTTGCTAACTACGCATCCAACAAAGGACTAACATCCACAACCTGTAAGGCACTCAAACAAATCAGCGAGAAAAGAAAAAAACAAGAAATCCCACAAAAAAGGGAGCAAATGACACGAATACACATTTCTCAAAAGAAGATATACAAATGGCCAACAAATAGGAAAAAAATGCTCAACATCACTAATCATTAGGGAAATGCAAATTAAAACCACAATGAAATACCACCTTATTCATGCTAGAACAGTCATTATTAAAAAGTCAAAAAGCAATAGATGTTGGCATAGATATGGTGGAAAGGCAATGTTTATACACTGCTAGTGGGAACTTAAATTAGAACAATCTCTATGGAGATTTCTCAAAAAAAACTAAAAGTAGATCTACCATTTGATCCAGCAATTCCAATCTGGGTTTCTACCCAAAGGAAAAGAAGTCATTGTATCAAAAAGACACCTGCACACGTATGTTTACTGCAGCTCTCAATTCACAATTGCAAAGATATAGAACTAACCTAAGTGCCCATCAACCAATGAGTGAATAAAATGTGGTAAGCATACACCACATTGAAATACTACTCATGGAATACTACTGAGTTATAAAAAAGAATGAAATAATGTATTTTGCAGCAACTTGGATGGAGCTGGAAGCCACTATTCTAATTGAAATAACTCGGGAACGGAAAACGAAACACCCTATGTTCTTACACGTAAGTGGCAGGTAAGCTATTTATGTCTTCACAAAAGCATACAGAGAGGTATAATTGACAATTGAGATGTGGAAGAGGGGAGAGTGGGAAGAGGGTGAAGGGTAAAAACTACATATTAGGTACAATGTACAGTCCTTGGGTGATGGTGCACTAAAATCTCAGAGTTTACAACTCTGCAATTCATCCATGTAACCAAAATCACTTGTACACATAAAGCTATTGAATATTTTTTAATTATTGGAAAAAAGCTATTGCTTGTTAATAAGAGTAACCACAACCATTTTAAACAATCAAAATACTTCCCTTTGCAGAAAATGGTCCCAGAATAATCTGAGAAATAGACCTATTTTATCAGATCTTCGCTTCTGCAGATTGCTGTGGTCTAATCACTCACAGTTTGGATTCAACAACAGCACCCACACATAGCTGATGTCCCAAAGATGTCAGGGTATTCACCCAGGTAACCATGAGTCAGGAAAACACAACACTTCAAAGACAATGCATTGCTTTCTGACTCAATCACAAGACTATTACCCCAGGATAAGAGGGACAAACAACATATTTTCATTGTATTTTAATTAGCATTGTTTTATTTTATGTATTAATACAACTTAACATGTTCCAGCTTTCTGTGTTAAATTGATCTTAGAGCCAGGCATACTCACCAAGGTGCTCAGTGCTGCCCATCACAGGAAACCATCCCAATGACACCATTTCAATGGTGAGCAAAGTGATTTCCTAATAGCCTTAGGTTGCCTAATAAGTTAATTACATTAATTGGTTTATACTTCCAATCTTGAAATTTTACTGGTAGATGTAGTTACTACAACTACAATATGTTGTTTTTTGTGCGTTATTGGGGTAGAATACGCAGAAAAGAATATGCTGAAAACAATTTTCTTAGGAAAGCAGCTATCTCTGGGAGAGAGGTTTGGATGGGGAAGGCAGGGAGAAGTGGCACTGCTATTAGAGTCAGCACATTGAGAGAGAAGCAAATTGAGTAAAGTGATGTGTAAATTGGGGAATTCTCAATAGAGTCAGAACAATGAGCAATTTCAGAAATCAAAACTACCTATCTGGACATTCATTGTGTTACTACATCCATTTTGATGCCTGCAAATCCGTCGAAATCATTAAAGGTGTTCAAAGTTCTTTGTTAAGGAGTGTTTAGCTATTCTCATTCTAGTTATAAATTGCACATCATAGGTAATCCTGTACTTACCAGTTCATGAAGAACTTTTTGCCATCAAATAACTCTCTCAGCTATATAAAAGCTTAAAATTAAACAACCTTTTAATGTTCTCTACAGATCAGAAAAGGATGATGCATTAGACTGTGTCTGGAATAGTCAGAGAAACATTCTGATGGGAAATGACCTTTGATCTGAGTCTTAATGAACTAGCATTTCCAGGTGGACAGACTGGGTAAACAAGGAAGGGAGTAAAAGTGAGAAGTTATCAAGGTCGTTGTTAAAAGCATGCACTGGTGTCACAGGCAGGTGTTCCAATTCCAATTTTCCTGTGTCCTGGATGTATTACCAAGGCAAGGACTCTAATTTTCCTTGACTCCCATTTTCCCATATATTAAACAAAGGCTATAAAATACGGACCTCCTCAGGTAGCTGAAAGACATAAATGAAATAATGCATGTGATCATAAAGCCTGTGTACCTGAAATATAGTAAGCATTCAATAAGTGTTAGCCATCATTATTACCCTCACATCAAACTGTGGGCATTCAATTCACCATGTTTTTTTTTTCTAAGAGAAATTAGAACAAAAAGAATATAGATATTAAAATAATAGAGCTCTGAATTGATATAAAATTTGGAATATTTCCAAAATACTTTTTCAAAAGTAATTATTACATACATTAATGAATCACTATACTACATATATATCAATAAATAACCACAGTTATTTAAGTCACTTTCAGCTCTAATCTATAGGAATTTAATGAGATTTTAAACTCTGATTATTGTCAGTACTTGTAGAAAATTTGATTATCCTCAATTCATTTTTATTCTTATTTTGTTCTCCTTGCTAGGTCAACCTAGACTTTTATAGTGATCGTAGCCTCACAAAATAAAATCTATTTTTCAAAATTGAAGTGTTACCTATTAAAGGATAATAGAAAGTCTAAATCAGTTTTTCCAATTTTCTCCCAGCACAATAATGATACAGTTCTCATATTTATTTATTCTTGACCTGTCAGGTCGGACTTTATGTTATTGAATTGGCTTTATATTTCTTGCATTAACAGAGGGGATAGAAGCAGAGGACAATGAACTAGACTTAGTAATTTTCTAACTTAGCCTCAGCGATGACTCAATTACTCTCAGCCAACAATCCTTGAAAACCTACTGTGTGTAAAATTCTCACGAGCTCACAGAAGCTTCTTCAAGTGATGTTCTGATATTTATGCAGTTGTAATTGAAATGATTCAAGTAGATTATAAGTCGCTTGAAAAAGTAATTATTTCACTCATTTATTATGCATTTGCATACTATCTAATTTTGTGCTACAAATTGGTGCCCTTAAATGAAGACTTACTGAATTAAATTGAATAATAACATACTATCGGTGGCTCTTATTAGGAAAAATTATTAGGCAATGAGAAATATAAAGAAATGTTTTGCCAACTCAGACTCACAAGAAGCAGAGACTTTACACAGTATTGCGCTTCATTATCAGTTCAATTTCATATACGTAACTACGAAGCAGAGAGGAAGCATGAAGTCTTGACTCTCCAATACAGCTCTGGACATGCTTATTTGCTGCATGAGGAAGTACCTTAGCCCTGATTTAGCAAAAGAGCTCTCTCTAAGGATTGCAAGCACCATCACTTATACAAACAAAGCCATTTTGATGATGAATGTTATATTATAGATGCTATAACAGGTCACCCCAATGAATAGAGAATATTTCGTGCAAAATGGGCCCAGGACTTTTAAGAGCAAGAGCTATGTAATGACCTTGAGCTCTACTCCTTTAGAGGATTATGGATATGATTCTATCTAAGGACACATACCTTAAGTGAGTCTATTTCTACGTAAGTATATTTGAGGGAGCATCATTTGTTACTTTGTGTCAAAATCCCTTAGGCTATATTTGACATGACAACTTATTAAAAGCAATTTCTTGTTTTAAGGTATAAAGAATTATCACTCACTTAAGAACAATGTGTCTTTGATGCAAACAACTTCCTAATATAAATTTTCTTCCCTGGAAAAAAAAATCCATACCTAAGTATTTACTTTTCTTCCTTCCTCATTTAATTCAAGCCTGTACAAATGTCACTTACTGCAGAGATATGTCCCCATCTAAAATAGTAATCCATCATTCATTATCAGTTCCCTTACTTTATCTTCTGTCTTATAGCACTTCTCAAGACCTGAAAGTGTAGCATTTATTTATTTGTTTACTTGTTATAGTCTCCCTCCTCAGCTAGTGTGCATGAAGGAGAAACCTAAAAAGTGCTTATAAATTAGCAGATGTTTCATAAATATTTCCAGAAGAAATAAATGGATTCTCATCAAAAGAACATAGCAGGTGCACTAAGTCTGTGGGTTTCTTCTGTCGGCTTTTCTGGAGGCATAGTTTTGAAAGACCAACTTTTTTAAGTTTAAGATTTAATTGACGTTTAGAGCAATATATTTTGCAGATAATATTTATTGGTGTGGTAGACTGCATAAGGGCCCTCCAAAAATCTACATCCTAATCCTCAGAATCTATGAATATGTTACTTTACATGGCAAAAGAGGCTTTGCAGTATGATTAAGTTAAGGATCTTGAGATGTAGAAATTATTCTGTATTATCTGGGTGGGCCCCATGTAGTTTCAAGGGTCCTTATGAGAGAAAGGTAGGAGGATCTGTCAACAAAGCGAGTCAAACTGTAAAATATTTAAAGAGGCTTATTCTGAGCCAAATATGATTGACTAAGGCCCATGACACAGCCTCAGGAGGTCCTGAGAACATGTGTCCAACATGATTGCACTATAGTTTGGTTTTATACATTTTAGGGAGACATAACATAGCCATCGATACATGTAAGGTATACACTGGTTTGTTCTAGAAAGGTGGGACAACTCGAAGGTTGGGGGGGCGGGGGTCGTGGGGGAGGGTGGGTTCCAGTCAGAGGTGGATTCAAAGATTTTCTGACTGGCAATTAGTTGAGAGAGTTAAGTTATTATCTAAAGACTTGGAATCAATAGAAAGGAGTGTCCGGGTTGAGATGAGGAGCTGTGGAGACCAAGGTGCTTATTACGCAAATGAAATCTCCAAGTATTAGGCTTCAGAGAGAATACGTGGGAAATGTTTCCAATCAGATCTAAAAAGGTACCAAACACTTAATCTCTCCTGGATCAAGAAACATCCTGTAAAGGGTCTACATGTAGAGAATCTACGTTCTCTACTGAATGTAGATTTTTCCCAGAAAAGACAGCTTAGCAGGACCATTTCAAAGTAGGTAAAAGAAATATATTTGGGGGTAAAATACTTTGATTTCTTTCAGGGCCTGCTATGTGTCATGTGATGCTGTACCAGAGTCAGGTTGGATTTTGGTATCTTATTGCTAGAGAGTCTGTTTAGTCAGTCTTAAGATCTCTGTTTTAATGTTAATGATCAGTTGTCCCCGAACTCCAAAGACAGGAGAGTATAATGAGACACATCTGACCTCTCCTTCCCATCA
Source organism: Homo sapiens (assembly GCF_000001405.40). Classification (NCBI taxonomy): domain Eukaryota; kingdom Metazoa; phylum Chordata; class Mammalia; order Primates; family Hominidae; genus Homo; species Homo sapiens. The sequence goes on from NC_000008.11 coordinate 16,371,507, forward strand.
TGGCCAGAACTAGTTTTTCAGGTTTTCTTTGGAATGCCCTGGGCCAAGAGGAGAGGTTCATTCAGTTGACTGGGGGGCTTAGAATCCTATTTTTGGCTTACAGTTCAAAGACAGTAAATGTAATCTGACAATACAAGCAAAGAGAGAGGACAGAGAGATTAGAAGTTGATACGCTGCTATGTTTAAATGTGGACTAAGAAGCCACCTACTGAAAACTATGGATAGGAAGGTGGCAAAGGCAAGGAAGCTGAGTCTCCCCTAGAGCCTCCAGAGCAATCAGTTCTGCTTACACCTGGACTTTAGCCCACTGACTGATTTTAGACCTCTGACTTTCAGAACTGTAAAATAATAAATGTGTATTATTGTCATCCACTAAGTTTATGGTAATTTGTTGGAACAGTTACAGAAAACTAATACAATTGATAAATTCTGTTGATCACATACAACATTCCCAAGAATTTCTGGACAGATTTTTTTTTCTTCTTAATTTAAAGTCCTAGATACTTGGGAAGGTGAAAACAAACTGTGTGAGAAAACAACCCTCATGAAATCTACATATAGCAAATTTGCTTTATGGCAACTTCACATTTAGTGCTAGCTGGTTGTTGATGAGAAACAGGGAAAAATCCTAAAGATTCTTGTTCTTTCTGCTTGTGGTAGGAAAGGAATCTAAAATTCTCAATTCTTGTTTAAACGTGATCTTAAGTCCAATATTAGTTTGATAGGACAGCTATAACAAAGTCCCATAAACTGGGTGATTTAGAACACAAAAATTTATTGTCTCACAGTTCTGAAGGTTAGATGTCCAAAATCAAGGTATCTGCAGGGCACATTTCCTGTGAAAGATCCCAGTAAGGGTCTTTTTCAGGCCCCTCTCCCAGCTTTTGGTAGCACCAAGTATTCTTTGGTTTGTAGATGAATCACTCCAGTCACAAGGCTGTTCAATTCTTGTGTCTTCAGTTTTTTTCCTCTGTAGGCCTGTCTCTGTATCCCAATTTCCTCTTTTATAAGGACCAATTATTCATTTTCAAAGAGCTATGGTATATCAGTATAACTTGACATCTAAATAAAGAAACATTTAATGCATACCATAAGGCATTATGCATTTATTTATGCACCACAAAGGCATATGTATTTATTTCTAACTCTCATTCTATTCCAGGACATGATGTAAACAATATTTAAACATAGAAACGTTTTTTATCTCACATTTTAGTATCTCAATTTAGTTTCTGAAATGAGGAAAAGAAAAAAATGAGATGAATTTCATTTAACTTCATTCAATAAAAATTGTGTCATTCCTTCTTTTAAATGCACAGACTCAAATTTTATTTTCAGAGATAATGAGTAAGCCACAATTGCAAAGGTGATTATAATCAATTTGGACTGGTAACAAAATCAGGTGGTCAGAGAGAAGCTGAACTCATTTACAATAATGAATCAACTCAATGATGATCATTTCTGAATAACTGCATTCCGGTATCCAACACTTGAAAGGGAATATAAATTACTATCATGTGCTTACTATAAGAGGCTTCTATCAGCATTATTGCCTCTACATTAGAGACCATTAAAATGCTTATTTTAAACTAAGGAAACTGACGCGGAGGAAAATTAGTTAACCTGTCCAACCCACATAGATTGTAAGAGCTGAAGGGAAGATTTGAACCCATATGTGATGCTAGAGTTTGTATTCTTAACCACTATAACATACTGGCTCCCATATATCCCATAGCTAGATAAAGTATTATTATATACCTGAATATCTTCTCTGTAAGCTTTGGGCAGAGTCAGAGTTAATATGCTTTGCACACAGACTCACATAGGCTCCCAGACTCTCCAAGCCCTTTCTTACCCATCCTCCTTCTTTTCTTTCTCACTCACTGACAATGGAATATAACAATTGCAGTGGATTCCTGGGGGGATTCAAGTGGTCCTGAACTAAGAAAAAAACAAAAATATAAACCACCCATTTCCAATGATAAAGATTTAAAACTTAATTTACATTTCATACAAATCAATAATTTTAGTCTTATTACACTAATGTGTAGCATAAGCTTATCCAACTAAATCACAGTAGAAAATCTATGGACAGAATATGTGCTAATGTGATCTTTGCAAACTCCGTCTTCTTGGAAGTACATGTCTTCTGTCTGAGTAGAGTTGAACTATCACTTCACTCTTCTTAATAAAATCAGTTCAATATCAGATAATAATTTGGAGAATTTGGAGAAAACCTGTGAAAAACAAGGTTTGTTCTATGTTGTATCACAGCTCTAGTTCTTATAACTTGGCAGGTTAGTTTTTTTATACTAAAGATCACAATTTTTGGTGTTAAAAATATAAGCTAACAAATTAATATCTCCTTATATATTATGATTGTACAACATTTTAAAAGACTAAATCATCAAATACTGAAATTCAAATTAATAATACAAAATAAGTTGTGAAATCCAAAGGTCTTTGTTTATATAACTAAAATATATATGTATATATGTATGTGTGTGTGTACACATATATATATGTCAAGACAATAGTGCCATTGCTGTATATTTTTCTAATTAAAAATCTAGCAGTTGCCCTTTATTTATCTGTGTTGAGTTTCCTGGCTATGAAGCTACGTTAACACTGACCTAGATCAATACACCTCAGCAAAACCCTGTAAGCAACAAGCTTAGAAAGGAATTGTGTTTTTACTATTGACTTCAGAATAAATCTCCTAATTTCTTAGCTGAAGCAAACACTTATTTAACAAAAGCTGAGAATACAGTTGTGTTGTTTCTTAAAACAATGCAACCAAATAGAAGTATTTTTACTATAAAATTCTCCAATTCTATTTTAATAAATATGTGCCAGACTTAAAACAAAGTAATCCAGTGGGTCAAGATTATATGTATGAAGTATTTAAATAATGCAACTATTTTTCTAATTATAAAAGCAAATCATGTTTTGACAGGGTTTGAAAATATTAAAATTATAAATAAGACAGTCATCTAGAAAAAGTTTTATATAGTCACAATATTTGGCATTACAAAACAGAAACAACTTTGCATAAATTTATTTTAATAGCTTTGGCCTCAGTGAAAAATGTCTTAGAGCCCAAGGCCAGAACAGGGCAACATCCACGTTCTGGGCTGCACTGCTGGACTGGAGAGCCAGTATCCAGTCTGGCTATTCACCATATAGCTGAGATAGGTTCAGGGGTCTCCAGATTACCCCAGGTTTGTAGAGTATATGTATGAATACCAATTTGTGGAGTGTCTATTATTCCCTACCAGCGTCTTAATGCCCCCAAAGCATGAACATTATCTCAGTCTTAGTAACTGGCAGCCTCTCAAAGACCCCCATCCAACCTGCCCTACTTAGTGCAGCACTCTCAGATATACAACATCCCTGTCTACAACCGGTCGGGAGCGCGGAGGACCATATTTGGGCCCCGCAGAAGAATGTGGAAGATTTTCTGAGTCCACTGCTGGCAAAGACATGCATTACCCAGGCCAAAGAGTTGACAGGTACCCTGCAGGTCAAGGGCTACTTTGACCAGCAGCGCAAAGCCTGGCTCCTGAAGAAGGGCTACTGAGGTCCAGCAGAGCAGCTTGCATGACAATATCCCCACAAGCTGCACTCCAAGGAACCTCAGGAGGAATAAGGTGGGTTTTGGAGCCTTGAGACAGGCAATCCAGAGACTCGGGCTAAGGGATTTGGTGGGGCAGAGTGAAGGCCAAAAGGATTCTTTGTTAGGTCTTAGTTGCATAAAGTGGGAAACAAGACCCTATGTACAGGTGGCAGCACTAGGTGAGCACTACCTGCCAGGAACAGCCAAGCTAGTGGGGGCTATTAGCTCTTGTCCCTCCCCATCACCTTGGCCCATCCCTGCTTTCCCTTCATTGGTGCTCCTTGGGTGCAGCTATTAAAATTCTAGGGGTTGTCACCTGGTGAAAGCAATAACCTAACTCCATTTAGGAGACTGTAGCAGAGGGCAGATTCATTGGGTACATTCCTTCCTTGGTCCTCTGGCCTTCCAGAGCTCACTGCCACAAATTTACCTGAGCCCTTGTCCTAGTTCAGACCTGGCTTGGCAGAGGCTATGGAGAACACAGATGATTCAGGCATGGGTCTTGGGGGTCTTCTGTTCCAAGTGCAGTGCTGAGCATGAGACACAGAGTTCCTCTGTTAGCCACTGAATTATTTCTACCTGATGGAGGAGTAAGAGGCCCAGACTGGGTGCCTGTTCCATTCCAGACCAGACTTGGGTCTAACCGGGTTTCCAGCTCCAGGAGATTAAGTGATTCGCTTTGGCAGGGCTGGCCACAAGCAGTGCCTGGGAGCTCCAAGTAGTCCAGTATAGGGCTATCCTCCCCAGCCTGCTGACCTGGAATCAAGGCTGGATGGGGGTTTGCAGGCAGGAAGATGCTGGCCTTTAAACCCGGCCATCCCATCCCATCCCACCCCCAATCAGCTAGCCATCACACCCAGGCCATACTTGGAATCACAGGCGCCAAGGGCCTGAGTTCTCACCCCCATCCCATCCTAGCATCAAACTGGCTAAGACATGGTTCAGATACTAGCTCTCCTCCATGGTCTCTGACCTAAGGTAGGGTACTGAATTTCTTTGGGACTCAGTTTCTTTATATGTAAAATGGGCACATCTTTGTAAGGATATTCCTGGCTTACATGTTAAACCCTCACTCCTGGAGACTCCAGGACCCTCTCAAGTCTAAAGCCTCTGCAAAGAAAAGGAGCTCAATACATTGATTTAATGACATAAGCCCCACCAATCATTAATGCAAATTTTTAGTTAGCTGTATATACGATTCAAGCTATTAAAATTTTTACAATATTTACAAATTAGTCTTCCGAAAAAAAAATGCCTTACAAGGAACTAGTACTGACAATAATGACAAGTCAAGATTATTTGAATTGCATCAAATATTTCCATAACACTTATAAATATAAAATAAGACATAAAAATAAGAATAAAAATATGAAATGATAACATAATTTAAAATAAGAATAAGCATATGCATCAAAGATTACTTGCACAGCTAGAAGCCCGCTCAGAACTCTAGTCAGTTAAGGAGCAAAATACACATTTAATAGAGTTTCAAATAAAAAGTTACTTCTGGAATGTATGGGAAAGTGACTATGTTCCCAAATAATTTAAAAGTTGAATGCAATCTTTTAGATTTCAGAGTGAAAGTGACTCTTGATTGTATAATTTATTAAAATTAGAATCAGAGTTGCGTTTGGGCCAGGTGTCAGTAAACAAAAATGAGTGACTCTATCTCTAGTAACTCCAAATTCCTCCTTATCACTTACTGCCTTGAGCTTCTCTCCTCAGTTATTTCGTGTCCAATGACAAGGTTCACCTGATAGACTGGTGTGGCCATAGGGAAAATTACCGCCAGGGTCCCCTCAGGCTGGCCAGTATTCATGACAAACTGTTAATGATTTTGAAAATCACTACCTCCAGTGTTTCCAGAGTCTTTAACTGATGACCATTTACAAAAGCTATTCATAGAAATATAAGCCTGATATCTAAATGAAACATAAGGTTGCTCTGTTACATCTCCTACAATGTTTGCATTTTAATATTGGCCATGCCTAGTTTAAGCCAAAGGGAGCCTCATTCTCTCTGCTTCATGTTTCCAAAAAGAGACCGCCCACACCTCGACTTCCGCTAGCCTCTGGTATCTCTCCATGATTCCTGTTCACTCTTGTTGGAAATGGAGGACTGGTTCCTCTAATTGGTGGATTTGGAACAAAAAATTCAGATGTGCTCACCTCAGCCTCTCCTCTTCTGCTTTTTATGGAGCTAATCTATTTAGCTCACTGGTATCAACCCACGTATCTGGAAATTTGCCTGGATTATAGGATGGGCTTCAGAAGTGTTTACCAAACACTTACAAACATTTAACAAATGAATAATAATGAATCTGTTGAGTCAGTAACTGAATGGATAAATTTCATATAATGTGTCAAATATCAGCATGTCCATTTGGTCAAAGATCTGAATCTACATTCTTCACATGGTTTGTCAGTATTTGAGTAAATAATTTTAAGTGCATCTATGTGTCTTTGATCCAACTCTAATAGTCTCAGAATTCAGTCATGGACAAGGGGTATATTACTTGTTGTTTGTTCTGAAACCACTTAATAGAATTGAAAGGAAAATACAGCGAAGAAGAGTTAAAGTTAATATAATAGAAAACTTTTTTAAATGGAAGCTTTTGAAAAACCAGGATGTACCGTCGCGAGTGTAACATTCACCTCAATAGGTGAATATTAGTAGAGAATAGATACTTGTTAGATAAGATGTAGAAGAGATGATCCCAGCACCAGAGAGAGAATTGGTCAGTGTCAAGTAATAAAAACAGGAACCACTCCAGATACTGCAAGAGAAGAGGGGCCAAAAGCAGGGAATAAACTACAAAATTGTTGGAAGGGCAAAAATCAAACAACCAAAAAAAAAAAAAAAAAAAAAGAAGAAGAAAAGGAATATTGGAAGAGTGAAAGGGAGAAGGGAATGAAGGGAATGTTACCTAGTTATCAGGGCTGTCTTTTCAATTCAAGACTCAACACACCAGCCATCCCTCCAGCTGATCTGCTAAAGATGTTGCAGAAACAAAGGAACATGGATTCCATGGATGCTACTGAAACCCCTACTGACATGTTGGTGACCCTGTCACCTGAAGTTGCTCTCAGAGCCCATAGTCACCTCCCCATGTTATCACTGCAACCAGAGACACCACAGTAACAGAAAATAAATAATTATTCTTTCTTTCTCCTTAAAAAAAATGTCCTGCAAGGGCTTCGCATTGGCCAAATCTTACTGGAAACTTGTTAGCAAGGGAGCCTGGGAAAACTGCTTGGCATTCTTCCAGCTCCCTGCCATAGAAAAGCAAAGAAGGGTTTGAATGAAGCTGAGAGCCAGCAAGCAAGCAACCAGAATACCAGATAATGTATTCTTTCACATTTTTCAAGATCCAACAGAAATTTGTTAGAGGAGGAACACTATTCACTATTAACCTCTCTAGAAATTACAGCAACAGACCATTAAAGACATTTAGAATAAATAACTAGCAGCTACCCACAGTCGCAAAAATATTTGTACTGAATTACAGCTGTCAAAGTATATATGACAGCTTACACTGTACATGGAGAGAATGAATTATAGAACTAAGAAATGCCAAACCTACCGACTTTATTTATACTCATAATGCAGAGTGAGGAAAAAATGGTGTGGGCAACTTTAGAAAGCCTTCAAGAGGAGATCAAAGGTAACGTGCCCTGGTAGGGGAGGTAGGATTTCAATGAAAGGAAGTTATTTTATACTGATAGAGAACATAAGCAAGGGAACTGAGGCTAAATGGGAGTAACAAGTATATGGAGAACATGGAAGAAGGAGTAAGGTAAGAAAAATCAGTCTCACTCAAGGATCTGAACATTAAAATAGGGTCCAATATGGCGGATATAGTTATACTTAAGGTGTGGAAAACTACAGAGTATTGAGGAAATGATGAAAATAGATTCCTTTGGAGTTCACTTTGTTAGATTTTATTTCACAATGTTCTATCTGAGGAAGGCTGATATTCCATTCTTGATTACAATCTATAAACAGTGATTAGCCTAAAATATATGGAAGTTTGTTTGGGGGGGTCTTCCAAATCTGACTTGAGGTGTTATTTTGAGTGGTATTCGCAGCAACATTCCACTTTTTCTGACTTCCTTTTCCTTTCTATACTAATTTGACCCCCATTTCTATCCTACTATATAAATATTTATACGACATTAATATCAGCAATAGGAACAAACCACTCTGAGAATGAATATAGTCTAACAGTTAAGAGAATGAACTCTGGAGCCAAACTACATAAATTCAAAACCCAACTCCACAAGTACTACTTATATGACCTTTGATTTACTTAAAATTTTCTTAGCTTCATCTTTAAAATGGGGTGATGGAAGAATTTATCATCTAACATTGTTGTCAGCATTAAAGGCAATGATAATGTTAAGCACTGGCCTTAGGGCCTGACATATACAACATCATGTAAGGGTTAGCTTTATTTTTTCTGTTATCCCCAGCATGTGGTTTTAACTTGTGCATAAGTTCTCCATTTTGACAAAGGCATCATTATCCCCTGTTGCAACTCATTTCATTTTGGACCACTGAAATCATGAAGTCTTCTCTATACGTTTCTTCATATTGAATTTGTTATAATTTCCAGCCATTGTTTCTATTTCTACCTTTGACGCTACCTAGAATTCATGCACCACATTCTCTCTTGAGTAGGGCAGGCTTTCCTAGATTGAGAGAGAAATAATTACCCTCTTCCAAATTCTCTTATTTTGCTCATATTAATAGCACTGTTCTTATATTAATACTTCATATTGTATATTTCTTAGATCTACATGAACTTGATTATTTGCCTTTGGATCTCCATTTGCCAATATCATTCTCAAACATCCTAGTAACATCTGCCATCTCATGTCCAAAGATATGCACACTGGGGAACTCTCAAATGGCCAGTGGGACGGACATAAGTAAACTGGGGGCCTTCTACTCCCCCGTTGATCACCTGTGTACGAAACTGTCCCTGTCACCTGCAAACTGTGACTTCTTTGGATACAGTGTTCAAAATAATCTCCCTTACTTGGACTAATAAACTGAATAGAGATAATCCCAGAAGAGAGAGACAAAGATACACTATCAGGGCTCCCCCTTCACATTTGTGTTCAGCAAATTTAAGCTGTAAAAATGAAACACTTATGCTGCTTTCAAATGATCAATATTCACAGAAGTGTGTCATAGTAACCATGGATTAAAAATTATAATAATATGTATTAAAGTAACATAACGTCTTAACAGGGTCAAATATTTTTAATGATTTTTACAGACAAATGGTTCCTCTAAGAATGCTAACCTATTATTTAATGAAACTGTGTTAAAAATTAAAATCAATTAACCAAGTTTTTTCCTCAGCCATTGTATTTTATATTAGCAATGTGTTTTTCATATATGTTTCATATGTGTATATGTGTGTTTCTCATATATATAGCACATATATAGCAATGTGTTTCATGTATATGTTTTATATACATACACACATACAAGGTAGTGAAGAACCATTGTGTGTGTATGAATGTGTATATGTGTGTGTGTGTGTGTGTGTGTGTGTATATATACATATATATATATATATATATATATATATGCTGTACACCAACATTGCCCAGTGCTAAAACTATATCTCACTTCAAGGAAATATTATAAAAATAGAATTGTGAAAATTCCAAAAGACAAACCTTTTCTAATAGTTGTACCATATGTCACCATATCTTATAAAATTATATATTAACTTGAGAAAATCCAGATAAAAATATTTTACTAAAGATAAAACCAATGTCCATTTTGTAGAACTCATAATCTGCTTTGTATTATTCTAATGCAAGGGCAGGTCAGTGCAATTAACTTTGGGTGAGAGTTGTTCTTCTCCACCTGTGGTCCTTGGAGAGCTCATCCTTCTAGGCTTCCGGGTAAGCTGTCAGGTGCACTGCCAACCAAGATTCAGGCTTAGATTAAACCTTCAGGGCCCACATAACAATTTATACCCTTGACAATTTTTTTCTGCTGATTGAATAATGGTATTTTATGGCCCATTTAAAAAACAATGTATTTGAGCACATTTTATTTGTACTACCCTAAGTTGCTGATCCTATAAAAAACTGTAAGCCAACTATAGTGTGCCGTCACATTTTTGGAGTTACGTATTTCCCTAATTGAATTTGTTGATTTATTGCTAACAAAGATAAAATTTTCTATTTCAGCCAATTTTCTGGGATGTGAAATTGCTTCAACATGGAAGCAAATTCTATGACTTTGAAAAAAGTGCTTGAAATCCATTTAGTCACCAAAATATTAACTTGATAGAAGTGAAACAACCAAGGAAAATGATCCTGTAAAGTCTTCTTTCAACTCTAAAATAAAATTATTGAAAGTACAGCTGCTTGAGCAGAAAAGTAGATTGTGACAACTTCTGCCACTTAAATTTTCTGAGTATAGAGTAAGTTTCATAATATTCTAGAAGAATATTATAATTAATGATTATCAATTTCTTAAACTTTTATGAAATTTCATTATGTAATTAATATTTCATAACTAATTAATATTTAAATAGGAAATAAAGTATTTCCAAAAGTCCATTACAAATACAAAATCTCATAGCAGGCAATTGGAAATGCTGTACTTTTTCGATCTTTCTAAAATGGAAAAGGCATGTTCTCAATTTTTTTCTGAAATTTTATTCTATAATTGCTAGCTTAGATTAGAAAACAAAAATGTTTGATTGAATTTCCTAAAAGGTTTCTATTAGGTGGTAGGTATTATGCATACACTATTACCTTATTTAATAAAATATCTGTTGTTTCATTAGAAATTTTCTACTTATGATGTTTGATATAAACCCCCATTTGGAAATATAAATCTATCTTTCTCAGAGCAAATAGAAGGACATTGTCATGCTTGGAAATCTCCAGGTGTGTCTTTGTATCTTAGAAAGCTTAATGTAATACCATCATCCCCAAATTTGCACTAAGCTTGGCAAAAAGAACAGCAAATCCCAAGAAGCAATTAATCTTTTCTATCCTACTGAAGACAATAGCTGAAGTTTTAGAATTCAATATTCAGTCAGCATACAGAAACAACACTTTGAAGTTATATAAAATAAAACGTGATGACTCTTTAAAAATAGTTTTAAAATTTGGCTGTACTCCACAAACATGAATCTATGCTGTGCCTTCTAAGTACACTCTCGCATTTCTTCCATACAGACAATGCAATGCAATGACATCATTTCATTATATGGAATGTTGGAAATATGCAAATAGAAAGGTCAGCAGAAGAAACCACTGCAGAAAGAAGCTTGGTCAGGACAGCACAGCAGGAAACAGATTCAACATCCTTGTCTCCGACCTGTGTTTGCCTATGAACCCATCCTAGTCACCATATTGAGGTCTGATCCTACCAGCACCAAAAGAGTGAAGTAAGTTATACAGAGAATGGAGAAGTGTATTATTATAAAGTGCCAGAAATTGTTGCTGCAGGATTACTACGGAGGATTAATCTAGTAGGTAGCCTAATGTTTTCCCTTCATAGGTTAAGTTGTAAAGGATGTTAAGATACCAGGTCAAGCATGCCAAATTACTTCCCAAAATTGTAGTACGGCTGGCAAAGGATATTTTGAACTCCTATTTTCCAAATTCTAACTAACACCAATAGGGAATTATGCTTAGGTGGGAAAAAGATGAAATGGAAAGCATTTTGGAAATGAGGGGACACGAGAAAAGAGGAAGAGATTCATTCAACACACAGCTACCAATATCCATAATTTGGCTACTCAAGCCACACTGATCCTACCTGAATTTCACAACCAATATATTTGGCTTAAGAAGAAAGCAGCTAATCTGACGAATGCTTACAGTGTTGAATAAGGAGATTGATGCTTTTTTGTAAAGCCACATGCACACGGAATACTGACGTTTCAGAAGAAAATTCAACTGTTGAAATTCTAACACATTGGAGTTGGCAATAAAGATTGTCACATAGTCCAAATTAGTAAGATTCTTAGCTCTCCTTTTTCAGAAACAACACAAATGATTGTCTAGCAGGAGAATCTCTGCCAGAAAGCTGACAAAATGCTGCTTTTGCTTCATTTTTGGAATTTTCAAATTTAGAATAGTAAAAGAAGAATTTGGCCACAAATTACTGACCTCTTTGTTTTGGCAACATAAATCAATGGTGAGAAGTAAAACAGGCAATCTGCGAAAACAACAAAGAAAACCAAGTTAAAACAAATATTGATTGTAAGTGGAGAAATGCAATGGAGAAATCAATCACTATTATAATTCATCATTCATAGAAAAAATACAAAAATAGAAAAATTAAAACTTAAGCCCTGAAATACAAGATAAGCCCTGAAATACAAAATAAACCCTAGTCAATGAATTCTGAAAACCACATAGAAAATACTCTTTCCAAACGGTCCCTTCCTCCTTTATTTACTGCTTCACTGCCAGCATTTCTTCCATTTACATTTTAGGGAAATTATTAAGTTTCAAAAGATCCACTTCTTTTGGTAATATCCAGTTGTTAACCCTGAAACTCTGTGACTGGCTGGGTCTATGTGGCAAATGTCAATGGAGGTAACCAAGATGCTTGTAATTTTCTAATTCTCTAATCTTCTAAGAATAAGAAAGCTATTTATCTCATGCTTTTTTATGAAAGTCTTTCTCCCAGCTATTTCTGACACATGGAAGATCCCAACTCTCTAATTAGGACCCATGTTTGTTATGAAAACTTCTCTTATTTACTCAGCCTTTTCTCCTCCTGACAACATTCCTTGCACCAAAACACGTGTTTAGGTAATTTACTACATTCCTGCCATTCGTTTTCACTTTATCTTGTTTACACAAATACCTATTAGCAAAAGGGGAACAGATATTAGTTATTAGGTTGAATCTCACACTTAGCTGTTCCATTTTAGTACCTTTTTCACATGACCATACAATGTTATCACACGTGTAGTATTCATCTTCTGTCCTCTTCATTCTTTATGCAAAGTTTATAATGAAGACTCCGAGGCCTATGTATGCCCAATCAGTTATGTGGGGGTAACAGAAGACATCTTCATTTGTAAAATTTTGTTTTTTTTTTAATAGAAAGAACACTTAACATAAGAACTACCCTCATAACAAATTTTTAAGTGTACAATACCACATTATGAAACATAGGCTCAGATGGGCACCACAGCTCACGCCTGCAATCCCAGCACTTTGGCAGGCCAAGACAGGTGGATCACCTGCTGTTAGAAGTTTGAGACCAGCCTGGCCAAAATGGTGAAACCCTGTCTCTACTGAAAAAAAAAAAAAAAAAATTAGCCGGACATGGTGGGAGGCGCCTGGAATTCCGGCTACTCATGAGGCTGAGGCAGGAGAATCGCTTGAACCCGGTAGGCAGAGGCTGCAGTGAGCCGAGATCACGCCATTGCATGCCAGCCTTGGTAACAAGTGAAACTTCGTCTCAAAATAAATAAATAAATACAGACACTAGGATTATAGCAGATCTCTAGAACTTACTCATCCTGCATAACCAAAACTTCACACTTGTTGATTCACAACTCCCATTTCTTCCTCTTCCCAACCCCTGGCAACCCCAATTCTGCAATTTGCTTCTATAGGTTTAACTATTTTAGATACCTCATGTATGTTGAATCATGAAGCGTTCGTATTTCTGTAACTAGCTTATTTCGCTTAGCATAATGTCCTCCTCCTGGTTCATCAATGTTGTTGCAAGTGACAGATTTTCTTATTTTAAGGCTAATATGTCATTGTATGTACATGTTAAACTTTGTTCGTTTCTTGATGAACATTACAGTTTTTTTACATGTTAGCTACTGTGAATAGTGCTGCAATGAACACAGAAGTGCTAATATCTCTTTGAGACCCTTATTTTAATTCTTTTGGATAAATGTCGAGAGTGGGACTGCTAGATCATATGATGGTTCTATTTTAATTTTTGGAGGAACCTCCATACTGTTTTCCACAGTGGCTGTACCATTTTGAATCCTACCCACAGTGTGCAAGGTTTTCTAATTTCTCCACATCCTCACTAATAAGCTTGACTTTTTTTTTTCATATGTCATCCAGACAGGTATGAGATAATATCTCATTATACTTTTGAATTACATTTCTGCGATGATTAGCAATACTGAGCACTTTTTCATATGCCTGGTGGCCACTTGTATGACTTCTTTAGAGAGATGTCTATTTAACTCATTTCGTTTTAAAATCTGGTTGTTAGGTTTTTTTTTTTTGCTTTTGACTTGTAAGATTTCCTTATATATTTTGGAAATTAACCTTTTATCATATATATGCTTTGTAAAGATGTTCTCCCATTTTGTGGATTGTTTTTTTCACTCTGAGGATTGTTTTCTTTATTGTACAGAAGGTTTTTAATTTGATGTAGTCCCATTCATCTTTTTTTTTCTTCTGTTGCCTATGCTTCTGGTGTCATAGCCATGAAGTCATTGACAAAACCAAAGTCCTAAAGCTTTTCCCTTATGCTTTCTTCCAGGGATTTTACAGTTTCTGGTCTTACACTTAAGCCTTAAATCCATTTTGAGTTGATTTTCATGTATGGTATAATATAAGGGTCCAACTGTGTTCATCTGCATGTGGATATCTAGTTTCTCAACATCTTTTCTGAAAGACTATCCTGTCCCCCTTGTGTATTCTTTGCAATCTTGTCTAAGTTTAGTTGACCATTTATGTGTGTGAATTTATTTCTGGGCTCTCAATTTTGTTCCATTGGTCTATATATGTTTTTATGCCAGTACCATACTGTTCAAATTACTGTAACTTTATCTGCATGTGGATATCTAGTTTCTCAACATCTTTGCTGAAAGACTATCCTGTCCCCATTGTATATTCTTTGCAACCCTAAGATTGTCTAAGATTAGTTGACTATTTATGTGTGTGAATTTATTTCTGGGCTCTCAATTTTGTTCCATTGGTCTATATATGTTTTTATGCTAGTACCATACTGTTTAAATTACTGTAACTTGGTTACACTTTTTGAAATCAGGAAGTATAATGCTTTCAGCTTTGTTCTTTCTCAAGATTGATTTGTCTATTCAAGGTCTTTTATGACTCCGTATGTATTTTAGATAGTATTCTTTTCTATTTCTATGAAAAATGGCATCAGAATTTTAATAGGGATTGCGTTACATCTGCAAATCTTTTTGGGAATATGGATATCATAAAAATAGTATGTCTTCCAATCCATAAACACAAATGTCTTTTCATTTGTTTGCATCTCAATGTATTTCATTAAAGTTTCGCAGTTTTCAGTGTATAAACCTTCCCCTTCTTTTATTCCTAATTATTTTATTATTTCATTCTATTGTATGTGAGATTTTTCCTAATTTTTTTCAGAGAGTATGTTTTCAGTATATGGAAATGCAATTGCTTTTTGTAACTTCACTGATTCATTATTAGTTCTAACAGTTTTTTAATAGAGTCTTTAGGGTTTTCTATATATAAGATTATGTCCTCTGGAAACAGAAACAATTTACTTATTTTCCAATTTGGATGCCTTTTTTTTTCTTGCCTAACTAATTTTGCAAACACTTCCAGTACTATGTTAAATAGAATTGAGGACAGAGGGCATCCATGCCTTGTTCCTAATCTTAGAGAAAAGTTTTCAGTTTTTACCATTGATTTAACAACTAGGCTTTTCACATATGTTTTTATTATGTTGAGCTACTTTGCTTCTATTTCTATTTTTTCAGAGTATTTATTTATAAAAAGGTGTTTACTTTTATCACATGCTTTTACTGTGCCTGTTGAAGTAATTTTTTTCATCAATTAATGTATCGCATTAATTGAATTTTAGATTACCCATCCTTTTATTCCAGGGATAAATCTGACTTGGTCATAGTGTATGGTCCTTGTAATGTGTTGGTTTGCTTGTATTTTATTGAGGATTTGTTGCATCTATATTCATCAATAATATTGGCCTGTAGTTCTCTTGTGTTTTTTTTTTTTTTTTTGAGATGGAGTCTCGCTGTGTCGCCCAGGCTGGAGTGCAGTGGCGCGATCTTGGCTCACTGCAAGCTCCACCTCCTGGGTTCACGCCATTCTCCTGCCTCAGCCTCCTGAGTAGCTGGGACTACAGGCCCCACCACCATGCCCGACTAACTTTTTTGTATTTTTAGTAGAGATGGGGTTTCACCGTGTTAGCCAGGATGGTCTCCATCTCCTGACCACGTGATCCACCCACCTTGGCCTCCCAAAGTGCTGGGATTACAGGCGTGAGCCACCACGCCTGGCCTCTTGTGGCATCTTTGTCTGGCTGTTATCTGGGTTATGCTCGCTTCATAAAATTAATTTAAAAGTGTTTCTTCCTCTTCAATAGTTTTGGAAAAGTTTGAGAATGATTGATGTTCATTCTTCTTCACATGTTGGACAGAAGTCACCCAAGAAGCCATCAAGTCCTGGGCTTTTTTTTTTTTTTTTTTTGGGAGATTTTGCTTACTGATATCATCTCTATACAGCTCTGTTCAGACTTTGTAGTACTTCGTAATAAAGTCTTGGTATGTTTTATGTTTCTAGGAATTTATCAGTTTCTTCCAGGTTATTCAATTTGTTTGTGTATAATTGTTCATAGTAGTTTATTATGATTTTTCTTATTCCTGTGGCATCAGCTGTAATGTCTTCTCTTTCATTTACAATTTTATTTATTTGAGAAATGGATCTTTGCCATGTTGACCAGACTGGTCTTGAACTTCTGGCTTCAAGAAATCCTCCTGCCTCAGCCTCTCAAAGTGTTAAGATTACAGGCGTGAGTTTCATTTTATTTATCTGAATCTTATGTCTTTTTTTCTTAAATAGTGCAGCTAAAATTTGTCAGTTTTGTTTATCTTTCATAAATCAAGGATGCTTGGGGGAAAGGAAATCACATGGGGAATTCTTAATGAATCTACTAAGGTCTCTCTATTTCTGAATTAAATTCCAGATTGTCTAACCTATATTTAAACTCTAAATCCAGCTCTCACTCCCCACTTTCAGTTTTCAGCAAGATGATCTAGTAACTTCTTTCCCCTTGTCCTTGTTCTTACTAACAGCTCATATTCCTCTTGTTTTACTCATCCTTCTTCAATATGGTTTTTGTTGGAACGTTATATTAATTTTTTCAAGAAGGATTGTTGGAGGACCTACTATATGGTAGGCCCTACAATAGTCATTAGGAATATGTCTAGCAAAACAGTGCTAATCTCTGTGGTGCTTTTAATATAGTAGGGGTGAGAAAGATTAAAGAGATAATCACATATTTGAGTATATGGTTACAGGTTTCAGTGAGTGGTATTAAAGGAAACATACGACTGTTGAATGAGTAGAGAGATCAGACTTAATCAGGAGGACAGAGAAAGCTCTCCTGGAAGAAGAATATTGGGCTGCTGTCTGAAGGATTAATGGAGTGAGCTAGGCAGTTGTAGTGATGCAGAGAAGAAGAGGACTAAAAGAAGAGAGAAATGCAGATATAAAGGCCCTAAGTTAGATATAAAGCTTAGCATGGTGAAAGAACTGAGAGAGTACATGTATAACTCAGTGCATGAAGCAAAGAGGAAATTGGTAGGATTTGCAACCGGGGAGACTAGCAGGGCAGATTCATGTATCACGTTACAAGTGACATTAAAGATCATGGTCTTCTCCCAGCAGTGAGAAGCCACTGAAGGGGAATTACTCTGATCTGATCTGAATCTTCAAAATATCACATTGGTTTCAGTGAAGAGAGAAGCATGAAAGGGGTAAAAGAAAAACTGGGGAAAGATTTCTTTTGTCCAAATGAGAGATAATAGTTTGAACTAGAATGGTACAGCTGATAGGATAAATTGAATATTGGAGAGAGCTTTAGAATGAAATAAATTGTACTCAGGAATAGATTACGTATGAAGGAGTGAAAGAAGGAGGTCATACGATGGGTGCTGCTGAGAGTACTAGTTAAAGCAGATGTCTCAGGTTCGATTGCTTCTAACGAAGTAGACACAATGTGGACTACTGAGTATCTGACCACCAGATGTTAGCTTCAGAGAGCATTTTAATTCTTAGTCCTCTGTTTGAGGTTGGAAGGAGAATAGATGTACTTTCTACTTCACCCATTTTACTAAATTCGTACATTACACTTCCTCATGCTAAATGGTTGGACATAGCTCTGGGTCCAATCAGGAAAGGGATAGCAAATGAGTCTGTAATTACAGCACCTGAGTGTAAATCCTGTGATGGGCCACCCACAGAGGGAGATGTTGGCTCTGTCTGGGAGGTCCAGGAAGGCTTACTGGAGGAGGTGGCATGCTAGCTGAGTATGCAGGATGAACCGGGGGAATTTGTTACATATCTGTGCAAATCATTTCTCCAATCAGATTATAAGCATGCTTTGGGGAGAATCATAATATATACATTTCTCTGCTACAGACTAGCCCTGCTGTGAGCTCACCATAAATGCTTCCTAATAATTATTTATTGGAAAACAGAAGTAAAGTTTCTTGGGAAAAATACCTCATTCAAACTAAATCTACCACTGAAACTTCCTTTTTAGACTATGAGTTTTGTATACATTACTCCACAGCTTGATTAGTATGGGTAATTGAAATTCTTTAAGTTTTCAAATGGAAGATGAAAGTGAAAATTTTAAGTTGATAACTGTGCAAATTATAACTGTTAGTTCACTTACTTGAGGAAGCAAACTAGACTGTATAGTCCTAAATGAATATTCACATGTGTTCTCTTTCATTGGCAGGGAAATGCCTATTTTTAAACTCACAGAAAAGACTTTCAATTTAGACTTCATTTCATATTAACTTCCTCTGTTTCCTTCCCTGTAGTTTTTACTTTGTTCTATTCAGTGTGACAAATTTATGCTTAGACTGTATTTTTAAAAATTAAGGATCTGCTTAACTTTTAAGATTTTTATAGTATAGAGATTATGGACCTTATGGAATAGTTTGACAAGTGACTGAATTGCCAGATGTAAAAACCTAAACTGTGTCTCAGTTTTGAAATGCCTAAAAGTCTGCGACAAAATCCACCTAGTGTATTTTGAATGTGTTTTTATTGTTTGGATTTGTCACGTAATATGTATGCATGACATGAGGATATTATAACTTAAATAACTAGAGGGGTGGACCCAATAATTCAAACGTGGACCTTTAAACATGGGTCTGCACCTCTAAGGACTACATATTGGCTGGACTGCTGACTTGCTGCTTACAGTTTCTGCTATGACCTTATATAATCTATGCATTTTTGCTCCCTGTTTGCATCTAGTAATCATCTTTAATCAGCTTACTTCCCTGTAGGGAAGGATTTACTTCTGTTTCTGTCTTACTGTTTGCAACTTAAATTGTTTTGCCTTTAAGTTCTTGTAACTCTTCTATCATTTAACCTTAAAGGCATTATTTAACATATAGCAATGGTGATTTTTAAAAAATCAAACTATCTCATATGTCAAGGTCAAAAAGCACAAATAAAAAACAACCAAAATGCTTCTCTGACATTTTCTCATAGTGCGTATACTACCTATATCTTCATATGTGATAGCACAGATCCACTTCAATAAATGTAAACTGATTTTTCCTATTAAAAAATACACTCAATTTTTAATATTTGAACATAGCTCTCAAGAAACATTTCCCTTGGAATTGAGGAAACAGCAATCAGAGCAACAGCAGCAATGAATGAAGGAAGAACCAGTGCCCAGACTATGCCAGAAAACCAAACAGATGGCTCTCAGCAAATGAGCCAAAACATGTCCTGCAATGTATATTTTATGTGTGGGCAGGGACAATTTCAGGCACATTTACCTTGCATCCTGAGTGCCTGGCACAGAGTAAGTGCTTATATTTATATTTATGTGGAATTAACTAGTAGGCAACTCAACACTAACTTGATTTACTTAAAAAGTACATTCATGGTCTTTATGAATAAGAGATAATACCATTGGTACTAGCAGTTATTTTGGGGATGTTGCTGAATGACTATTTGAAATGATTCTGTATGGTTGGTTGATGGAATTTACTATACTTAACAGAATATCATTTTCTAGAACTAGATATTTTCTGTTGCAGATTACAAATGTCATTCTTGAAGAATCTATGCTTATCCAACACAGGTCATTTCCATACCTTTCATTGTTTTTTGGGGGGGAGGAAATAAAACAAATTTCTTTATGACTTGTAATAAAAATTTTAAGCCCAAATAACTGAAATTGGGGGACATAGACCATTTTTTGATGCAATATATTCAATTCCTCAAAAAGAATTGCAAAGTCAAATCTACATTAAAGCATATAGAAAAGTGAAGTAGGACCCTTATAAGGTACTCTCATAAAAGTAATATGGACATGACATAAATATGATCAAATCAATTCTGGAAAACAGAAGTTGACTGCAAAATCAAACTTATGTTTACTTTAAGTTTGTAAGATAAAAAAGCCTCATGTCCTGATTTGTTCAGAATTCTTTAATAATCAAAATATAGGCAGTATTTGACAATCTGCCAGCTTTTGGTTTTCACAAAAATAAGTTAACGTACACCAACTCAGTTACTCTTTCCTTCAGCTTCTCTCTTGAGAATCATGCTTAGATCTAAAAGAGGAACCGCAGAAGAGTGTCAGTGATAATGAAAGGATGATGAACCATATGGAATTCCTGAATTACTAAAAGCAGACGAGCAAGATTTTCAAATAAATGAGATGCCCTATGATTGAGTTCATCTGTTTTCATTTAGCAGAACAACAATAAGTGAACACATAATGGGATAGAAAATTATGACGGTTTTTACATACATTTACATATCACATTCCAAAACATTTCCAGAAAGGAAATATTTGTACCACCTTATGATGGTTAATTTTATGTGTCAACTTGACTGGGTCATGAGTTATATATTTGATAAAACATTATTCTAGGTGTTTCCATGAGGGAGTTTTTGGATGAGATTAACATTTATTTATTTATTAATTTGAGTCAGGGTCTTGCTCTGTCACCCAGTCTGCAGTGCAGTGGTGCAATCTCAGCTCACTGAAGTATCAACTTTTAGGACTTAAGTGATCCTCCCGCCTCAGCCTCCCAAGTAGCAGGGATGACAGGGATAAGCCATCCACACCTGGCTAATTTTTTTTAATATTTATTTTCAGTACAGATGGGGTCTCAATATGTTGCCCAGGCTGATCTGAAACCCCTAGGCTCAAGCGATCCTCCTGCCTCAGCCTCTCAAAGTGCTGGGAATACAAGTATGAGCCACCGTGCCCTGCTGAGATTAACATTTAAATCAATAGACTGAGTAAAACAGAGTACCCTTCATAATGTGAGTGGGCCTCATTCAAGGAGCTGAAGACCACAGGAGAGCAAAAGGCTGACCCTCCTCCAAGTAAGAGGGAGATCCTCTTGCCCTAAAATGGCCTACACTGGGGCATCAGCTCTTCTTGGTTCCACAGCAGCTTCCAGTCCTTGGATTCAAACTGGACATTGGCTCTGCAGATTTTGGACTTGCGAGTCTCTGTAATTGCTTCAGTCAACTCCTTAAAATCTGTCTCTCTCCTATTGGTTCTATTTTTCTGGAGAGCCCTGACAAATACACACCATGTAACCATATTCTTCCATACAGTTGAGCCCTCACAGCCACCTGTAATACTCTGTGTTCTCCTAGTCAGTAACTTCAGCCATTCTTCACAACTATTGTAGTTTTTCCTGAACAATTCTTAAGCATTCTACTCCATCTCTTCTTACTTTCAGCAGCCTCCTATCATGTAGGTAAAATAAATGCCATATGATAAGAAATCACTAAACTTTAAAATCCCCAAACCTCCACTCTCCTCTATGATTTCCTCATTTCTTTCTGTTCAAATACAGAAAATAACTTGTCTCTTGCCCAAGAGTAATCCAACCAGTTGTGTTCTGTGTCCAATTCCTTCTTCCATGTTTAGATACTTGCTGGGTTTATCATTTTTTTCTCTCTCCTCTTTGTTTGTAATTTCTTTTTATATATCACAACCTTTTATGAAATCTAAGCGTGTTCACTTCTCTCCTATCACAAAAATAAACAAAAAACACAAAAAGCCCTCTTCTTTGGCAGCACCTTCTGCTCTGCTCACTATTTTTCCCCTCCTGATAGCCATGTTTTTTAGGTCATTATTTGCAATTGTACTCTGGCCCTCTTTATCTGAATGCCAAAATAAATGTTTAAGGTGCCAAGGCAAGAATTCAAAAAATTACAAAAACAAAAGATAAAAGCTTCAGACGGAGTAGGGACCCCTCTTAGCTACTTCTGGGCCGCTGAAACATGGCAATTTTTAAAAAATCTTGAGTCCCTTCAAGGGAAGTTCCAGGCACCTAGCTGGCCTTGAAAAGTAAATGCCCATTAATCAACAAGCAGATAAAGAAAATGTGGTATATATGTACCACAGAATACTACTCAGCCATAAAAAGGAATGAATTAATGACATTCACAGCAACCTGGATGGAGGTGGAGACCATTATTCGAAGTGAAGTAACTCAAGAATGGAAAACCAAACGTCGTATGTTCTCACTCATAAATGGAAGCTAAGCTATGAGGACGCAAAGGGATAAAATGATACAATGAACTTTGGGGACTCAAAGGGTGGGAGGGAGGAGAGGGTAAAAGAGTACACAATGGGTAATGTGTACACTGCTCAGGTGATGGGTGAAACAGAATCTCAGATTTCATCACTGAAGAACTTATTCATGTAACCAGACACCACCTGTTCCCCCAAAACCTATTGAAATTTCAAACAAATAAGCAACCTGATAAACAAGAAGATAATAACAACAGTCTCCAGCAAGCCAGAGTTGCAAGGTATTTTGGTGGTGGCACCTTTATTCTTTAGGGTCTTAGGGCCACAAAAATTCCTCAACCAGACTTTCTATGCCTCATTCTTTCTAGAACCCACTGCACTCTGAATTATCCCCTCAGTTCTGCTGAAATTGCTCTTACTAATATCATTAATAGATACTCATGTCAGTATCATACTTAGTTTCTTATTATCATCTTCCTTGAAACATTTTCTTCCCTTGGCTTCTCTGATGCTTCAGTGTTCTGTCTTTGGGGCTGCTGGTCTCTTCCATTTTGTTCTCAGGCGTTTCTCCTCTCATGGAATAATCTCAGTCCATGTGATCTGATTCCCGCTACTCCAATTTCAAGTCCTTTTATTTACTGATGGCTCCCAAAATGAACACTTCAGCCTATATCTCTCTTAAACTGCAACCTTTATCTCTCTCTTAAACGGCAGATTTATACACCCAACTATTATATTTCTCCTTCAGGATATTTCAATGGAAGTTCAAACTCATCTTCTAGAAAAATGGCTTTCTATGCTAATCTTTGTCTCTGCTCTGGCTCCCACGTTCTGTAGCTCAGTAGATGGCACTGATGTCTTCACTGAGGTTCACGACTGAATCCTCAACACAGGACTTAACCTCTCCTGTCCTATACCATACAACAAATAAACCATCAGTTCCTACAGATTCTACAATCCTAAAATCTCTAGAATCCTACCAATTTCACCTGATAGCTAGGCTATTGCCTTTTAAATAAGTTTGAGTTTCTTGCCTTCTTTTTTCTCTTTTCCAATCCTTTCTTTATGATGCAACCTGAAACATAAATTAAATGTAAATTACAATCGTTTGCTCTTTAGCATAAGAATTTCAGTGGCTCCTTGTGGCCTTCAGGATAATGTCTAAGCTCCTTCATGTTTCTTAGAACAACCAGCTTGCCGTGACTTGTTTTTACTGCTTCAGTATATCCTCTTATCTGTAGATAGGGTTTCCATTCTTCACGTGTGCAGTTCCTCTTGTATTTGAGGGCTTTTGCCACATTGTTTTGTTTTCTTTTTGTTTTCTCATTCAACTAAATCTTGTTTTAGATCTCAACTTAGACATTTACCCCATATGAAAAGCTTCTCCTAAACTCTAAATAGGGGTTTAGGAACTCATATCACATGCTGCTTCAGACAGTTATTTTATCCAAACCACAATTTTTCCATTTGTAAAATAAATAGGATTATATCACCTACTCTACAGGGTTGTTGTAAAAATTAAAGGAGAAAATGTAAAGTGTTAGCAGAGTGCCATAGCTCAGAGTAAATAAATTAATTAAATATCAGTAAATATTAGCTCTGATGATCTTTATGTTTATTATGATTACTAAGAAAGATTCTTTTATGGATTCTTATCCAGTATTAACAAAGACACTCAAGTTCCTCGTGCATAATTGAAATGTAAATTTCTGATCTACTCCAAACTTTCTTGAAAAAAAAGGAAAAGCACAAAATGAATAGATACATCAATTTTTAAATATTGTTACTATCAAACCAAACATCTTCCCAAAGAAAATTATTATGGGCTCATGATTTTTTTTTGTGATAGAGAATGAACAGATAAACTCTACTGTCTAAAATAGTACAGGGTTTGTTGTTAGCTTTCAGAAGGATATTTTATATTGGATAGATCTTATTGCTGCTTACATTTCATCCTCAAAATAAAAGGACACGTTTAGCCACTTCAGAATCTAGATACAGATTTGCCTGATTCTGTCAGCCAATCTTTCTGCCCTGTATGCCATATTGCCTCTCTAGGGAGCAGCTTCTGGGTAGGGGGAAGG
The DNA here is from genome assembly GCF_000001405.40 of Homo sapiens. Lineage (NCBI taxonomy): Eukaryota > Metazoa > Chordata > Mammalia > Primates > Hominidae > Homo > Homo sapiens. The sequence continues at coordinate 16,395,744 of NC_000008.11, forward strand.
AGTGGCTGGAAGCAATGTATGAGACAGTTACAACAAATTTTCACCCAACAGGGTTCTGTAAATTGTATCTTTAAGATTAGGAGAGGATTTATTTTTCAATAATAGCTCAAAGCACAGCTCCCACTCATTTTCTGCAATTCCAAAATCCAAGGAATCCTGAAAAAACAACAAGTGTTCTCCTAGGTTTGGTGTCAAAGCTCAATTGAATACAAAACTGACCTGAACTGACAATAGGACATTTATTACTCCTTTTAACCCCATTTAGTGTTGTGACTATTGATTCATGTTACTACAAAAATCTTAATAGGTTTGACTCCAGAGTGCTACCCTGACATTTCTGTTCTTTTACATGAAATACTCAAATTCTGAACCATATCCGTCCCCAAGGATTTGGAATAATATATTGTGGATGTGTCATTTTTTTCACATCCTGACTGTCATGGCAGATATGTAATAGGTAATACTTGTAGGTTTCAACTTCTAAAGAAACAGCCCAGCCTAGCTTAAGTAAAAGGGGGGATTCGTGGAAGGATACTACAATTGCATGTAGAAATATAAATGCACAAATCTGGTGATTCTTTCTTAATATAATATCCATCAGGAAGTTTTAGCCGTCAGGGAAAATTGTTGGCTACCTTCTCTCAGATGCCACTGCATGAAGAAAACAAGGCCTTCAGCAGCTCTAAGCTCTGGCACTTACATCAGATAAAACACAGGTCTTTCTTTCTTAGATAAGTTTGGTCATGGAATGGGAACAGGCCTGTGGCATATGCCCAGCTTTGGGGTAGTGTGGCAGAGTTTGTTAATGGCAAACTCCAACTTAACCTCACAGGTGGTTGTGGAGGTGGAACAACCACCGCCCCCCGCCCCACCAAGGAAATTTTAGCTAGTAGATGAAAAATCAGATGTCCTCCAAAATATGACTGACCATAGGAAAGAAAAACATGCATAGTATTCATCAACCACTCTGGTAAAACTAGGAACAGATAAACGGTTTTTTTCATTTGTTTGTTTTCTACATATCAAGATTTACAGTTCTTACATTATAACTCAACATAACATATCATTACATTTTATGGCAAACCAACCTACTGAAACCTATTTTTTTAATACTTCAAATCAGAATGGTCAGGCATTTTATTGTATAATTGACTCATACTTTACTCTTTCTAAAAATAATCTTTCTCCACATCCACTGATAAATGAATAAATATGCCATCTGTAATGTTAAAGGTTTGTTTGAGAAACAAATTATTTTCTGATGTGACACTAATATGGTATTTCATCAATTAATAGTTTCAGTGGCTTTGAAATATTTCAAGTCTATGCCTAGCTAATGAATTTAATAGAACTAAATTTGGATATTAGTGCTTCATCAGTGTTGATGAATATATTTCAACTGTAAAAAGATGAAAGGAAGTAATTCAAAAAACAAATGTAGGCACTTGAATTACATTTTGATGATAATTATTTCTGCTCTTTGTGAGCTAAAGGAAACCTAACCCCAACATTTTATTTGTTAATAAATAATTCCGTATCAGTAGACTGCAGAAAAACTTAATGTAATCACTTAGAAATAATGAAACAGTAATAACCACGAAAAAAAAAAACATAGAAATCTGGGAAGAGCCTAAGATTTCTTTACTTCATGATGTTTTCTGCAACTATTCCATTCCATACTGGTCTGTTGAGCTTTCACAATACCTTCTGTCCAACCATTATCTGCCCTTCATTACATGCAATGTGATATTATCATTGAGTCTAATATTGAATGCATATTATGCTTTCCATTCAACTTGAAAACTCATTTAGGTAAACATATTACACTTCATTTATATTCCCTCTTCAGTGCCTATTATGAAATGTACACTAGGCATTAAACAAGACTTGAAAATTGAATTGTTAAACCTTGTGAGAGTTAACAGAGAATCATTGGCTAATCAGTTTCAGGAGACCTAGGGTTAATTCGTTTAACAATTTATACATGAGATTTTTTGCCATTTATGATAAGCTATCAAATTTCCAAAATATTTCACTCATCTATATTCTAATGACATATCTATTAAATCAAGTAGAGGAAGTGTTTACCTAGAAACAATGTCTTTTCCAGAATTAAGTTGGCCCACTATCAAACATCATAGTAAGTTTACAGTACTATTACCAATTTATATGTGTGATATAAATACAGTGTAATATTTTATTCTTTAACGTGGACTAGGGTGATATTTTCTGAAATAATTGTTTCCTCCACTATATTCTTTAGCTGCTGTCAAGAATTTAGACGTAAATCACATTTCTGATTATGTTTCTTTCTCATTTACTGACTTTTAGAATGGTCCAGTGCAAACTGAAGAACTCAAATTTCTTGGCAGAAAAGATTCTTTTCATCTTCTCTCGCTATGTTTCCTCATCATGTTCTCTGATTAGTCTATTGTACCTATAATAGCAATATCAAAAATTTACTCTTCTCTAAGTATTCTAATTATTTTTTCACTGGAGAATTCCTTTTAAAATATTTTTCTCATCTACCAACCTGTGCTCAAATATTAAGTTTTAACATCTGCAAATTTCCTCTAGCTCACTTGCAAAAAAAAAAAAAAGAAAAACTTAAAACTGTTCAAAAGTCCATTTATCAATAACCCTTTTTAAGCAAAAGGTAACCATCCACCCAAATGTCATTCTTTGAAGATGTACCAGCCCCTTGCACATTAGTTCTCAGATCTATTCTCTGACTTTCCCCGCATATTTTAGGAAACCTTGATCACTGAGTTCTGGCTAAAGTTAGCTACTGTGAGAAACTGACAGGACCCTAAAGACTGGGACACAGACACAGAGTTAATCCACCTCTTCCATTTATGCTTAGAGCTGCTTTTCTGGAAGCAGCTGTATCTCCCCATGGCCCCAGCTCACCCTGGGCAACCCCTTTATCTGCGGTTCTGGTCACTGCCATACAGCTTTCTTGGAGACTGAGTAACCTCACCCCAATCTGGCAACCCCAGCTCTGGGTTGGGGTACCACCACTTCTATCTTCTCACCCTCTAGGCATAGAGCTAGCATCAACTAATTGATGTTGTTAATCTAGGAATGACCTTAATAGTGCCTGCTTGCCTTCAGCAAGCACCTGTGCAACTAGTCCCCAGAACTCAAGTCCTTCTTTTGGACTATGTGGAATGAGCTCTGCTTTTTGGCCTAGACCCTGACTCTGACACATTATCAATCGGTACATAAAAAGGCAATTTTTAAACTGTGATTATATACTTTACGCTATTTAAATAATATTAAATTGAATTTGTTAAAAATTAATAAAACGAAATCAAGTAGAAGTGAAAATCTCAGTGAAACTCCACTGAAAATCAAACATTTATATCCTTATTATAAGAGATATTATTCTCTTAGAATATCCTTGTGAAGATAGGAATGAATTGTAATTAAGACAAGAGACTTCAGTTTAAAATTATATGTTTTATTTCTTTATTTATTTTTGGTTGTTAGAGACAGGGTCTCACTCTGTCATCAAGGCTGGAGTGCAGTGGCACGACATAGCTCACTATAACCTCAAACTCCTGGGTTCAGGGAATCTTCCCATCTCAGCCTCCTGAGTAACTGGGACTACAGGCATGCACCACAATACCTGGCTAATTGTTTAAATTTTTTGTAGAGATGGGACCTATATTGCTCAGGCTAATCACAAACCCCTAGGCTCAAGCCATGCTCCCACATTGGCCTGTCAAAGCACTGAGATTACAGGAATTAGCCACTGCGCCCAGGCTTACTATATGTTTTAATCGTAGATATTACCTGATCCATAGACAAAAACCTTCGCTCTCTTGTAGGCTCACTTCCTTTCCAGTCACCTTCCATTTCAATTGCCTCCTTTCTCTTTTGTAAATTTGTCAATAATTTGACATGGCAAAAATTGTAACTTTTTTATTCTCTCCTGCCACCAGTTTAACATCCTTTATTATAATTCTAGATTTAAGTGGAGTCAGTGATAATTGTCACCAGTTTAACAGGGTTTCTTATAGCAATTCTACATTTAACTGGAGTCACAGATAATCACTACTCCAATACCAAGGCACCATTTGTGAGTTCTTTATAAGGCTGCATTGCATTATATGTTGAATTGTCACGATGAGGATTGTTATCAGTTAAATTTTAATATGCAGTTTGTTTCCGTTTTTCTTACCAGTGGTTAACAGGTGACATATAGGTTCTTTCATATTTGAGATGGCCTGACTATTGCTCTGTCCATGAAATACTTGGTCCAATAGTTTGGGTATTTGTCCTCAACAAATCTCATGTTGAAAGGTAACCCACACTGTTGGAGGTAGGATCTGGTGGCAAGTGTTTGGGCGCAGATCTCTCATGACCTGGGCACAGATCTCTCATGACTTGGTGCTGCCCTTGTGACAGTGAGTGAGTTCTTGTAAAATATGAGAGTTTAAAAGTATGTGGCACCTCCCTGGTATTGCTCCTCCTCTCACCGGATGAGACACCTGCTCCTCCTTCACCTTCTGCCATGAGTAAAAGCTACCTGAGGCCTCACTAGAAGCTGAGCAGATGCCAGAACAATGCTTCTACAGCTTATAGAACCATTTAGAGTCAATTAAATTCCTTTTCTTTATAATCACCTAACTTCAGGTATTTCTTTATAGCAATGTAAGAACTGTCTAGCACACTTGTGTTATGATACTCTCTAGTAACATTTCTGCAAAACATTGCAGAATTTTATCTATTGTCTTCTGGCATTGGATGTTGCTATGAAAAAACTGATGTCAGGCTAATGCTTTTCTTTTGTAGTTTAAGTTCTCTCCGAATGGAACTCTACATATATATTTGCATATATATGGCACACACATGCACCCACACAGACACACACACACACGTTGTGCTCTTTTGTTCCGAAGATTCTACTCTCTTTAGTTCAAATTGTCTTTCATTGTATCTGTATTTCACTGACTGAATTCTTTAAATCACAGACATTATTTATTCTATGCTGAATTGTCTTGAAAAACCCTTATATTGGTTGGAATTGTCTAATAATTTAAATTTTTTTACCATTTTATTATTTCAAGCATTTTTCTATACCCAAAGCTCAGTTTTTTGTTCTCTCAAATTCGTTTCTTGCTGTTTCTAATTTATTAGTTTTGAAAAGCTATTGTACATGTTTCCTGATGTTGGTGATAGTTTTTCATCTCATTTTAAAATTTTATAATTTGTGTTTGAGCTCTCGTCTCATTCTATTCAAGCTTCTTAAACTTGTTATATAGCTCAGAATATTTATCAGGCATTTGCTTTAGTTCCCTGCATTCTTCCATGCTCAGTTTTTCATTGTCTTTTCTATTCTATGTTCCTTTTCTTTACTGTCGTTATGTCTTATGTTTTATATTTTGGGGTATTACTGGCAATTATTGGGACTTTTCAGTCTTCTTGCTTTTGAGATACAGGGATAGGGTTAGGACTCTTGTCACTCTACTACAGAATACTTTTATGGTTCTTAGTTAACTAGTGTGTGTATGTGTATGTGTGTGTATCTTTATTAATATCACTATTTTATGTTATTTTTGTAATTGTTGGCATGTTATTTTTATTGTTTGTCAGGCTTTAGGTATTGGAATGGGAATTTCTGTATGGTAGCTTTATACTGCCCTCTCTGCCTGGAATTCTCACTTCTATAATTTTTAATGTGGATATTTTTCCATTTTGCTACAAATTTATCAAGACTTGAACCATTTATAATTCACAATTATAGGCCATAACCCCTGCTATATAACAGGTATATAATAGATTATCAATACATGGTTGATGTATAAAATAAAATGAATACATAAACATAACATGTAGCCTCTAGAAAAGTAGAAAATTTTCAGTTCAACAACGTTTATGCATGAATGACAGTAAATCAATCAGAAACTTAAAATATCTCTCTCTATAGTTGGATTAAATGAACACTCTCTTGCTGTTTTACAGAGTGGTGAGAAGAAACTATATCCCTCATGTGTATGTTTAATTGTTATCATGATGGCTGCATGGAGTAATTAAATCTTAAGTCTTCCTTGTTTAAAATAAAATGTAAATTCCCTTGGGCAAAATAAAATTCTAGCTTCATTTTGTGTGAGATAATAATATCATTTTTTAACATTCAGTTTTGCTGACAAAAGAAAGATAATATCCAAGGAACTAAATATGTGATGTGGGCTAAATATTGCTAATATACAGTGAAAACGTTACAGTATAAAAAGATTTATTTTCTTCTTTTGCTTCACAATATTACTATTACTATCAATATTTCCCATTTATATACTTTAACGACATCTAATTAGTCAAAGCCATTGAAGTCTGCCACACTTGAAGTTCCCAGAACATACCATCTACATCGTGAACTAATGTTTTTTATTTCTTAACCTATTTCCCGTTTGCCCCAAGAATATTCTTGTCTCTAATCCTAATGTAACATCATATACATTCCTGTTACATTGAGATTAGAGAAAAGTTCTGTTAAGAAATAACTACAAGAACTGTTTATATTTTGTTTTCACATTGAAAATCAGTCAGATTTGCTTCAGTCTCAAAGAACATGTTTATGTAAAATTAAATGAGCACTGGCCCCAAGCTGCAATTTTTTTTTCTAAATGGGAAATGAGTTAAAATTCTCAAAACATAATTCAAAGCTGTATTTTGAGGGTTAAAAACCTACTTATAGCACTTAGCATAATAAATGGTAATAATTCAAAATATGCTATACGTTTATATAACCATCATTACTGTTGTCATAATTTAATTGCCCCCTTACATCAGGATAAAATCCAAACTACTGAGCTCTCTTTGAAGGACTCCCTAGATTTGTACATTCCTAAATCTCAGGAATGAATCTGATAATATCCTCTGCCAGGCCCATTCACAGTGACTTGATTTCCCTTTTCTATGTAAGCTATGTGTCTCTCACTTCTGGGCCCTTGAATGTGTTGTGGTTTTACTTTGAATATATTATTTTTCTGTCTTCATGCAAGAGGAAGACAAGAAAGAAGAAAAAATTTTTCCATATAGGAAACTTTCCTTACCCTCCCCTCACAGCAGAGTTCTCCATATAAAATATGAATAAGAATAGATATCACAATGGATGAGAGAGAACTTCTATTCCTAGAAGTAGGGCAGACTATATACTCTGACAGACTCTTCCATAGAAAAAAAAATCTAAAAATGCCAGACAAAAAATAGAAAAAGAGTAATTTAAAATAAAACTCTAGAAGGTGGTAACTCGATAAAATCAGCAGTCATTTAAAATGTCATTCTGAATGTGGAAGAAAACCAACACAATTTTACAGGTGAGCTTTATCAAACATTAAAGGAACAAATAATTTTAATTTTAAACAAACAGTCCTGGGTATATAAGGAAACAACATTCTCCCGAGTCATTTTACAAGACTAGTAAATTTAGTTTGATATCCGTACTTAACAAAGACTGTACAAAACATGGAAAACGTCAGGTCAGTCACCCTCACAAACAGATGCAAACATACTAAACCAAGTATTAGCAAATAGATTCAGGTATGCATAAAACATGAGTAAATCTATCTTCAAAATGAGAAACTGATTTCAACGTTAGAAAAAATAAAGTTTATTTCATTAAAAAGTTTGGAAAGAGCCTTTGTTCATCTTGAAGATTAAGGAAAGCACTCTTTTAGGAAAAAAAAAATTCTTAACGATAAACAGAATTAAACTTCTGTAAACTGGTAAGTCTCCAGCAAACAGAATACTTAGTGGAAAAAAGAAGCTAGCATGTCACTATGAGGGACAATACAAAGTTGTCTGCTATAAGCAATTTTATTTAACACTGTACTAAATGTTCTAGCTAGCTCAGTCAGGTAAGAAAAATAAGTACAGGTTTGTAGTAACTGGAAAGGAAGGAACTACCGGTTTTTATTATTTTCACAGTATGATTATGGAAAAACTACATAATGACATCTCCCAATACATTTTTATAACATCAGGTCTCTATATATGAAATCAATATATAAAAATAATTTGCATTTTATTCAGTAGCAATAATATCTATGCAAGTACTTAACAGGGAAATCACAAGAAAACCTTTGTATGGATCATTCCCAGCTGATTAAATTATAAAATATCATACTACAGTTGTGACATTCAGTAGACATTCTGATTTCTACTTCTTTGCTTCAATTTTTGGCTTACAATTGATACAACGAATGAAATTCACTTATGGTTCTACTTCACCACGAATTCTACTCAAAGCTGCTATTCCAATGTCTGTTTTGCCTACACAAGTTTTCTGCCTAAAACATTGTTCTTATTTACTTAACAAGTTTTTACTTTTGAGATCAAATTTTCTTCAAAACACCTTTGCTTTAGGGGCAGAGATAAAAAGGAGTTCTTCGAGTATTTCGTTATTGAAACAGAACCTACCAAATGCCATTATTTAAGCTGCAGTTTCAGCTGTATAGCAAACAATGTGGACTGTAATTTGTTTCAGTACTAGTTTCTTCAAATCTTCAACAATATATTTGTTGATAAAATGCTAGCTTGTCACCATATAGCTTCTTACACTATTATTTTAACGGGAAGAATGTATTTCCCAAAATGGCATTCTGTTTCTTAGTTATTTAGAAAGAAATCTCAAAAGTGTATTTTAGTTTTTATCATTACATTTAGTTAAATTTTGTAAATTACGAATTGAGCATTAAACGGCTTTAAATATAACTTAAAAATTACAGAGATTTATCTTCATTTTATGAATGCTGAGTTAAAAGTCATCTGAATACTTATTTCATATTTCACTTGCTAATACCTCAAAGCATCAGGTAAAGCTGAGTTTATATTAATCAGGTAGTTGTAAATAAATATTTCAAGTAGTCATTATTTGACATGTTATATGGTACTCAATATTTTCAAGTTTTTTTTTTTTTGAGTACTTAATGGGTCATTGTTTTTTTTACGTCTCAGTTTGATTGAGAGCTCATACTCCATGGAGGTGAAATGAGAACTCCACTATTTGATCCTTTGCTTGCTTTTAAAAGATTAGCATTATCTTTAATCTGTTTATTCTTTGGAGCAATCCTTGTGAACCTTTTGTTCATTTTCTGTGAGTTAGTTGTCTTCCAACTGCTCAGTAAGAGTGGTAGGACAAAGAAACAACCACTGAACTTGAAGCATAAAAAAAAAGAAAAAGAAAGAAACAACCACTGGATTAGTCCTAGTAATGGAACTAGGTAACATGTCAGCCTGACTGTATGCACGCAAGTGTAACTCACAGTCGCATCCAGCACTGGTTGTATTTGGAATTAAAAATTCAAACAAAAACATTTCTCCATGAACATTTCTCCATGATTGTCATGTATTGTGACAATCCCCAGATGGTAGGGATAATCTCAACGGGGCAGAGTAGAGCTGGATTGTATGATTCCTACAACAATCATCTGGCTTGTCTAGGCAAACATTTCAAAATTAAATGAATAAAGAAATAAGTAAAGAAAATGAATACACAATGGAATACTATTTAGCCATAAAAATGAAATTATGTCATTTGCAGACACAGGGATACAACTGGAGGTCATTATGTTAAAGTGAAACAAGCCAGACCCAGAAAGAAAGACAAATATTGGATGTTCTCACTATTATGTGGGAGCTAGAAGAGATAATCTCCTGGAGGCAGAGAGTAGAATCACAGACATCAGAGGCTTGGGAGGATGTGTGGGTGAGTGGGAGGGGAGGGAAGAGAGATTGGTTAATAGGTAAAAACATAGAATTAGATAAAAGGAATAAGTTTTAATGTTCAATATCAAACTAGGGTGACTGGTTAACAAAAATGTGTATTTCAAAGTAGCTAGAAAAGAAGATTTGGAATGTTTCTAACAGATAGAAATGATAAAGAGAAAGATACACTAAGTACCCTGGTTTGATCATTACACATTGTATGTTTGTAGCAAAATACCACATATACCCCATATATATGTACAAATATTATGTATCAATTAAAAAATTTAAATAAAAAATATATAAATTGCTTCTATGCAGCCTAATAGGCATATACTTTCCAAATCTATATTATAGGTCTGCTTTTCTAATGAGTTGTAAGAAGGCATCTCTTTGTGAGACCAGATTTCCTCATCAACACTTGTTTGGGTACATTATCCTCTCAATATCCAAGTAATCAATAGTTTGTGCTCTGCTGAATAACAAGTAATACTGGAATATAGCACCAATTTTTATTTCCTTCAATACTGGGGGCATGGATGACGGCCAAAAAATATTACTGCTGTGTAGTGTTCATTCTTCCATATCCTGAATACTCTGACTTGCAAACTTTTCAGGTATAGTTGTACATGAGTGGGAAATGTTTTAGAAATTGCCATTTATTATTTCACAAATATTCATTAGCTATAAATACAATTAACCACAAATCAGTACACAGTTCAGGACAAAAATTTTAGATTTGAAGTCATATTGGGCAGATTCTGGAATTATGGCTTCACCACCTCTATCTATAAGCAGGTATTCTATGTCTTCCAGCTTGCTCCTTCATCTGGAAAATGCTTCTCAGTGTCTGACCCTTAGCAGACATTCACTAAATAAAGCTTTCCTTTCTTTTTCTTTTAAAAACTCTTCACAGACACTGGAGGTAAGGTACATTTTTACTCCTTGCCCATCCATTTCTCTCTCCTACTGACTCTGTGGTTGTCATTTGTGGTTTTTTGATTTCTCATCCAGATGGACATATTTCTGGATGGGTGGTTATGTGGACACTCTGGATGGAGATGGAACTCTTCCATGTGCCTGAAGGAGCATCTTCACTTTACACTCCATGTGCTCTAGCAGGATGGAGTTTATTAATGTATACTGTGGACTGACGGCATTATGTCTTCAGGAATTAGAAAATATCATCAGATGCAAAGTTACTCAATTAAAGAAAACGTATCTGCCTACATATTAGACTAAACGTTAGGAATAAATAAAATATTTGGTAAAAACAATTCCGTCTATAAAAAGAAAAGGGATTAAATCTGTTTGACGGGGTAGCTGATGTTATGTTTTAAATATGAGATATTTAAGATAGAGTAAGAAATTACTAATATATATATATATATACAGCTTTGACTTAGTTTGGGTTATATAAAATTTCTCTTTTCTAACGATCACGATTGAATATTGGCAAATTTGTGGTGTAAATGTCACAGTTCTGGTGATAGTCTTCCTTGGAAAAAGAAATTTCAATTATATGAAAACCTTGAAAGGAATAAATCTCAAAAATATTTCTTCGCTCACAAAAATGTGGGTTACATTCCATAATTTGACAGTTCGGAATGGGTTCTATTTCCTTGGGCAAATGAGACAGCATCAAGACTACCTTTTGTGTTTGTTATCCACCCGTTATATTTCCTTAGAATAAGTATAATCATGTATCTTCCAAAATGGGATGCTTTTGAGAGTAAAAGAAGAACTACTAGTTGTCAAGGTGGATTTAAAAATGCAAAACTGGAACTGTACAGATCAAAGTGGCTCCATGATAATTTTCCTTACTAATAACCCAGGTGCCTCTCTACAGTGCTTTGTTTCTAAAACACTGGAACAAAATTGGGTTGATTCTAACTTTATCACACTGGATTAACAGAGTCAGGCTCCAACTGATTCACCCAAGGATCATTTCTCTGTTTTATGGAATGAATCCAGTATGCCTAGATCAGAAGACTCATTCCTTCATATGACATATTAGTTTTTGCCCTCCCTGATGCTTCAACAACAGAAATGTGACTGTCAGAATTAACTTTAATTAAATATTAAAACTAGTAAAATCTATTTCTTGCTGCTTCCATTTCAACAATAAAATCTATTTTAAAACAGTGTACTCATTTAAATACAGCAGTTGCATCTTCCTTTATTATTGTATCAGTAAATCATCAGTAATTTTTAACTGTGTCAGAGATACCAAAGCCAAAATAAGCATAAATATATTTTGTTCAATGAATTTAACAATTTGCATATCATGTTATTTTCATCATCTATATTGAATTCTTACTACATAATGTTCTTGTTTTCTGTCTACCTATTCTGACCACTTTATAGTCAGTTTCCTTTATTGTTTCTGATTCATTTCCCTAATTTTTAAATATTGGGAGGCCTCAAAAATTAACCTTCAAAAAATCTTTCTTTTTTTTTTCTCTCCACACTAAGTCCCTGCAGCATCTAGTACATTTTCATAGCTTCACGTACCACCTAATGACCTAATGACAATTTCCTGGACTCCAGAATCATATATCCATCTGCCTCTATGATACATCCACTTGGAATTGACATCTGGAAATTTTTAGGTCCCAACTGAGTCACTGCTATTAAATCTCCCCTATCAAGTTGAAGATTTATAATCTCACAGATTTATCCTTTCTAGTGGTGGTTACTGCTGGTCTACACTGCTCAGGCTAAAATACATGGTGTTTGATTTCTCTCTCTCTTTCATACTCTGTTTCCAGTGTATTAGACAATCCTATTGACTCCAATTTTAAAATGTATCCAGAGCACTGTTCAAAATAGTCAAAACGTAGAAACAATATATTGTCCATCAACTGATGAAAAGATAAATGTCTTGTATCCAAACAATGGAATATCATTCCGTCATTAAAAGGAATTAATTACTGATATATGCTGCAACATGGATGAACCTAGAAACATTATTCTAAGCAAAGGAAGCCAGTCACAAAGGCCACATATTTTATATTTGGATTAAATTAGCAGAAAGTCATTGACCTGAGACTGTCCCATATTTTGAGTTTCTAAGGAATACTCCAAAATCTATCTTAGGATTATGTACATTTCTGCAAAAAAAAAACAGCCAAAAGTCAGCCAGGGACAAATAGCGGGTCACAGTCAGTCCATGCCCAAATAAGGCAAACACCTAGCTGTAGCTAATCCGATGATTTCATTAGTTTGTTTTTGTGAGCTTGCTGCTCATGCTGCTGGGTGGAGCTCTCTCAACCTCTCTTAGTTCTGAGTGCTGTCTGATTCATGAATTGTTCATTGTTCAAATAAATGCTGTTGAATATAATTTGTCTAAAGTTTTTCTTTTAGCTGTGTAATTCCATTTATATGAAATGTCCAGAATAGGCAAATTCAGAGAGGCAGACAGCAGATTAGTGGTACCAGGGGAAGGAGAGGAGGAGGGTATGGGACATTACTGCTTAAAGGGCATGGGGTTTTCTTTTGGAATGTGTAAAGTGTCTTGAAACTAGAGAGAGATGGATGTACTAAACGTCACTAAATGTCACATTTTAGAATGATTAATTTTATGCTATGTGAATTTTACCTCAATAAACAAAAGCAAAAAATGTGTGTCCAGAAATAAATCACTTCTTATTACCTCCAACTGTAATCACCCAATGGGTTCTTCTTCCTCGCTGCACAAATAAAACAATTTGGTAAGACTGGGATATTGCAGTAGAGAAAGAGTTTAATGAATGCAGAGCTAGCCAAGTAGAACTAGAGTTATTACTAAAACCAATCTCCTGTGAACTCAGAAGCTAGAGTTTTATTACAATTTTGTGGGCAGAGAGCTAGGAAATGGGTGCTGCTGATCAGTTGGGATGAAATCATAGCAACATGGAAAACAGTTACTGTGCATTGTCTGCCTGTGGGTGGAAACCACAGGACTAGTTGAGTCATGAGTCATGTGTCCAGGTTGGGTCAGTCAATTGCCAGAATACAAAAGTCTGAAACACCACACCTACATCTTAGCAGACCTCAAGCCCCTTCCATAATTCTATTCTCATGGCCTTTCATTAGTCATACAAAGGTGGTTTTGGTCCCAAGCAAAAAGGGCATTAGTCTAAGGGAGGGACTATTATTCTTACTTCAAATTTAAACTCTAAACTTAATTCTTTCCTTGGTTAGCTTGGTCTACATCCAGGAATGAGCAAGGAAAGCCAGCTGGTGAGGCTAGATGCAAAGTGGAGTCAGCCATGCTAGATTTTTCTTACCATTGTAATCTTTGCAAAGGTGGCTACAAACCCAGGATCCTGTTTCAAGATACTCTCTTCTCTCCACTAAATTACAGTGATAACTTTCGAACTTATTTCTTAGTAAGACTGATACTATAAAATTATGAGATCATTTCACTCTTGAGTTCAAAACTTTCCAGTAGCTTTTGTACCTTTCAGAATGAATATCAACATCTTTATGTGACTATCAAGACCCAGGAAGATCAGCCCTCTCTGTTGCTTCACTGATCTCACCTCTTAACTTTGCCCCTGACCTCTGATATCTTATTTCCTCTCCTCCAGTCAGAAAGGTTGACCACCTTTCTACTCCTTCAAATATGAGACAATAAACCATCTCAGGGGATTTGCAGCTGCTGTTTCCACTGCCTAGAATTCTTGCTCTGCCCAGATACATTCATTTTTAATCCATAGCTTCCTTCTGAAATAATCTTTTCAGTAAGGCTACTCCAGGAAGAATCACAACCCCTGTTCTCCTGCCCACACAACCGTTTCCCTATTTGACTTTATCTCTCAACATTTGTCAATAATGTGTTATAAATTTTTATGTATTTATCTTATTGCTTGTACACCTTTCTCTATAATAATGCTCCATGCATTTAAAAAAAGTCCACAGATTTTTACCTCTTTTTATCTCTGATGTAAATAACATCACATTGATAACATTACATTGACATCTCCGATGTAAAAAACACATCTATCACATTGATAGATGTCCAGGTGTTATTTAAAAATTAATAATTATGAGGCATTTAAAATATATTGCAATACTGAACAAAATTATTTAAGGAGACCAGACTTATGGATTATTAAATCTAGCAAAAAATTACTTTTACTTTTAAATGCTGGTTTTGTAAATTTTGCTCTAAATCATATGAAAAGATATTCTAATACATACAGCTAACTCATTCTGTGCCTCACAATCCTGTTTTCATAGCAGTGTCAGCAGAAAAGAACTGATTGCTGTAGATTTTGTTGAAACTCATTTCCAATTTCTGATTAAATTGCTTTTATTGAACTTAATTGTAATGTATATATGAATTAGCTGAGAACAATAACATGGCCAGACTTGATCAAAAATTCTTCAGAAGACCATGCTAAAATATAAATTGCATGGACTCAAAGCATGTGCATTAAGACAAACATTAGATCGAAAAACCACTGTTTTAAGATTTTCTAAATTCAGGGTTGATTTAATGCAACTCCGAAGCAGACTATGGAGGAAATTTATAAGGAAAACTGATTTTAATTAAGAGTTTAAATGGTCTCAAGATAAACAGTATGTGTTCCGGACCTTTTGAGTTGGAAGAAAGGGTTTTGAATCTCGTTTTATCCCAGATAAGGAACGATCCACTCTTCCAGCTTTCTAAATTATTGTACACATTTTATAAAGGACCAGTCATAGAAATCCAAATTATATAAGCATGACAGATGGCTATGTCTTTGAACATTATAAACTTTATTTAAAATATGCAAAAATACTACTTGGAATGCCATAAGCAGTGCACAGGCATCTCATAAGACTGCAGGACGGGGAGACTGATTGAGGTCCACAAATCATCAAATCTCATTTGTATCATATTTGTAAACTACTACTTCATCAAATCCTATACTGGACTAGCCTATATTAAAAAAATCTGATATTATACCTTCTGTCTGAGGGCTGTGGTACTCATATAAAGGCTTAGGAAGAGAAAGAACTCAGATCATCTACAGACTGTAGAATCGACAGAAAAGGCTGGTAGTGTGCTCTGTCGACGGTGCTTGTCTGGGAGTCCCTCAGCTGCCTTTCAGTGACAACATTTCAGTGACAGGACTATAAACATGCCATTGTGTTTTCAATAAAGCTAGTTATTAGCCTTCAGAGGAGCATGACAAATACAATAGATTTGAGGTTTCGATGAAACTATAGCTAAAGGATTTAGATTTTTAAAACATGTTGTACATGTTCTCTAGTCAATTTATTAAAAGTTGGAGATATAATTTTTCATTCAACATTAGTTTGCACTCATCCAAATGTAATTTTCTCTTCTCAGCAATTTAGTAGTGCCTTATGGAACTGGCCATGTAATGTGTTATGCATGAGGAGTTGACACTGTTATAAAATCCATATTCTGTATCTTTTTATAAGAAATAAACATTTACTTGCAGTTAAGGGACTGAAGCAGAAAAAGCAGCCAGGCCAATAATCAAAACACAAATATTTCTTTATCAATTATTTGAGGGGATTACAACAGGCAAATGAACCAGATATGTAAAAACATATCTATTTTTCACAGTATCAAGTTTCTTCTTCTTAGGGCTCATCGCTGTTTGTCAAAAATGTGTTTAACAAAAGAGATGTGTTTAACAACAACAGCAACAAACTATGTTTAAACAAAACTATATCTTTCTCTTTGCTCCACTTGAGGCTTTGTTCTTTTCAGAGTTCAAAAGCAAAATGAAGTTGACGGTCAAAATTGAATGAAATGTGCTCAAATACTGAGGAAGTCATAAAAAAAATTTTGTTGCAGACTTCCTGTGCTTGGAATGGCTTCGAAAAACATTGAAGGCAACTGACATTATATTTATTACAGCAATATTCTGCTCAAAATTTACATAGTTATTTGTCAATTCTATATTAAAACTTAAATTACACAACTGAGAATGAAGCCTTGTTTGGGATGCCCCTAACACAAAGACGGTAATAGGTGTCATCTCTTGGATCGGCTATAATCTACTGATAGATAATGGCATTTTGGTGTGCCAATTCCTGAGATTTTTGAAGTTAAGTCTGAACTCAGGGGGAAAGAGGATCCTAATCCATGTAACATGCCTTCCAAGGGCAGAAGATAGAAGCAACCTCCCAGTTCTAATGTTGGAAGTCCAAGGCAGCCATGCACTTAAGCATACTGTCCCCTGTATAAATAGTCAATGCTCAAGAAAGTTAATGTTTTTCTTCCAATTTCTTCCACTGGGAAATTAATTAAAGGTATCTCCTTTCATAGGTGGTATTGAGATAATAAATACATTCAAAATATTGTTTTGAAATAGTCACTCTAACATGTCTCTAATTTTCTGAAGTCCTACATTTGTCCCATATATTTACCCTATTATTTGCCTTCAACATGGGTAGAACTCCTATTTGTTAAACTGTTCATGTATTCTCCCAGGGCAATACATTTCAGAATGTGGCCACAATGTAGTATTCCTTCCTACTTGCCAAACTTTTGTGGTATCTGAAATGTAAAACAAGAACTCTTAACCTAAAGACATATAAAGATGTATTTTAATTGTTATGAAGCAGAATAATATAGTGGTTAACAGTATTTAAGACCATTTAATAGCCACAAAGTTCCAGGCTTCAGTTTCTTTATCTATGAAATAGAGAAAATATCACAGGTGATGCGACTGTTACGTACATTAAGTAAAATAAGCTTTACTAAGCAATTTGCACATACCTGGTACAAAGTGAGTTCTTAAATATTATTTTTTTAATCAAAAAGTAAATTAGTTGAGCATATTTGCACCATCTGAGAATACAAATCAAGTTACCTAACCCATATATACCACTCTCTCACTAGCATTCTTTTTTTTTTTCTAGACTACTCCTGCTAGAAGATGGTGTGACTGGCCTTCCAAGTTCAGGCTACAAGTTCCTCAGGACTCATCACATCTCCTGCACCATAAAAGCTTCCAGCATTCTCTTTCCACCTGGCCTCTCTCCACTCTAGTCTTTCTGGAACTATCTTCCCAACAAATTTGATATATTTTCAAAAACTTGACTGCCTTGGGGAAATCATAGTCTAAGAAGCACTTAATTCTTGTATAGCCTGCTTCCTACCCAAGGGACATAAGATGCTGAGACCTTCTCAGTAGAGTGAAGGATAAGTTAATTATTTTTGCTGGTAATCACTATTTTTGGCTTTTTTCCCCCTCCCTTGACTATATAGTCTTGTTTCCCCTCCTTATATGCCTCTTCTCTAATGTCATGCTCCTCCATTCATCTACATCTATTACAACTCTACGTTATAGCATAGTCATTTGATTCTCCTCTTTCCCCACACCCACTGGGTTTATAAAGAAAAGTATAGGGGGTAGTGGGAGTTATGATTAGTGTCTGCTGGGAGGGGAGTAGTAACTTCTTCTAGAGATCTTTGCAGACACAATCTATACAACTATTTCTTGTTTCTTTTCATTTCATTTCAAAGCTGAATTTCATTTTGGTTTAGCTTTGATCCCACCCAAATCTCATCTTGAATTGTAGTTCCCATAATCTCCATGTGTCATGGGAGGAACCTGGTGCGAAGTGATTGGATCATGGGGACAATTTCCCCCATGCTGTTTTCATGATAGTGAATGAGTTCTCGCAAGATCTGGTAGCTTTACAAAAGGCTTCCACCTTCGCTTGGCACTCATTCTCTCTCCCACCGCCCTGTGAGTAGGTGGCTTCTGCCATGATTGTAAACTTCCTGAGACCTCCCCAGCCATGTGGAACTGTGAGTCAATTAACCGTGAGTCACTCTTTTATATATAAATTACCCAGTCTTGGGTAGTTCTTCATAGCAGTGTGAGAATGGACTAATACACATTTTACAGGTATTTGTATTTTCATTACTCACTAATCTCATGTAAGATTAGAATGGATATAACTCTGTTCCTTAGGGTAGACCTTCTCGAAGTATTTGTAGTAGAGAATCAGTTTTTCCCCTAACCTATTATAGACTAATATTTTATTAAAATCGAAAAATAAATAACTAAAAGAATAAAATAAAAACAGACATGCAAAGTAATAGTTGCAAATTTTTTTAAAACAATACAGGAAAAAGAAAATGACAAAATCTGTATATGTTGTAGTTTTTACTATCTCATCAGTAGCTAGTTACCATAGTTTATCCTATAAAGTTATAGCTACATTTCAATTGTCTTCTGTTGAAATAAATTGGTTCTGGAATTTTAATACTTTTGGGTTACAGGTGACAAAACAGCTTTAAGACATTGTGTAACATGACAGTCTGCTACTCACTCCAACATCAACTGACCTTGTGGGGTCTACAATATACAAATTGGTCATGCTCTGTCCAGCAAATCCAATGAACTAAATAGTTTTCCTCAATTTCTGCACTTATTTCATCAGGGACCAGTGACAAATTTTACATAATACATCACTGTCTGTAGATTCAGTTTATACAGTGCTACTGAATAGCTTCTTTTTTTTTTTTTTTTTTTTGATAGCTTTTAGCAGGGCCAAATTTTATGACCAGGCCTTGGATTTTTTATATCTAAGAATGGAACCATAACTCCAAGTTACTTCAAATTTTACACTTACTAAATTTGGCAAATTCACCTCTGCAGTGCCCATAACCCCTCTCCAAAAGGAAGGGTAGTGAGGAAAATACAGGAAAAATTTATCAAACTATGTGAATTTTCGGTAGTATATCCTAAAACACTGTTAAATCAAAACAATAAATTATCCCAAATAACTAAAAATGCACAAAATAATCCAAGGAATTTGATAAAAAACAGCCCGGTTTTATTTTTTAAGTACTATAAGATGCCATTTTTTTAAGAATTGGACGTTCAAAAACGAATTTTTAAGTATTAGAAGTTCAAAAAGTTTAAACTTTTACATTTCAAGGTGAAAGACAAACTATCAAAGGCCAGGCGCAGTGGCTCACACCTGTAATCCCAGCAATTTGGGAGGCCGAGGTGGGTAGGTCACCTGAGGTGAGGAGTTCGAGACCAGCCTGGCCAACATGGTGAAACCCCATCTCTACAAAAAATACAAAAAATTAGCTTGGCGTGGTGGTGGGCGCCTGTAATCCCAGCTACTCAGGAGGCTGAGGCACAAGAACCACTTGAACCCAGGAGGCGGAGGTTGCAGTCAGCTGAGATCACACCATTGCACTCCAGCCTGGGCGACAAGAGTGAAACTCCATCTCAAAAAAAAAGAAAAGAAAAGAAAAGAACAACATCTCTGTTTATACATGAAATTGTAAGTAAAAACATAAAGCAGAGAGGTATGAGATTCATAGAGACTATATCAGACAAAAATATAAGGAAAGCAGTAATTGAAATAAACGTATTTATAAGGCCCCAAACCAAAAAGTAAAAGAAAAGATAACCACTAGAGAATAACAGCATGTTATTTCTAAACAGGCAAAGATACAGGCTAGGAATGGTGGCTCACATCTGCAATCCAAGCACTTTGAAAGACCAAGGGGGGAGGATGGCTTGAGCCCAGGAGTTCAAGACGATCCTAGGCAACATAGTGAGACCCCGTCTCTACACAAAATAAAAAACCATCTGGGCATCATGGCATGCATCTGTAATCCCAGCAACTGGAGAGGTTGAGGTGGGAGGATCGTTTGAGCTTGGGAGGTTGGGGTTGCAGTCAGCCAATGTCTCAACCACTGTACTACAGCCTGGGTGACAGAGTGAGATCCTGCCTCGAAAAAAGGGTAAAGAGAGTATCAGTGTACCACTTCTAAAAAGCTCAACTTAAGATACCTTTTTCTACATGTAGGCTTATGCTATACAAATGACATTCTGCAGTGGTTGCTGTGATTCCATTTTCAATCTCCCTCCATGGCAGCTGAAATCTCTTTGCAGTGAATGGTTTAGGGAAGGTCAAATGACTTAGTTCTTTTTAATAGGAAGTGAGGAGGGTTTGCTATAAAAGAATTCCTCAGAAACATTCCTTGCCTATGAGACACAGAATAACTGACCTCTGTTGTTTCCAGGACATTGGCATTGCTGTATACAATGTCTGGAACTGCTTAATTTCCACCAAGCTAGCACTGAAGCTGAGCAATGAAAGTAAAACTAACAGAATTATGACAACCAGGAGAGCCAGAGAGCTTATGTACTGTACCTGGAGTCTCCCCTATCTTTAGACTTCTTGTAGAAGGAGGTAATAAATTTTCTTATCATTAAGCATATTTGAATCACGCATCCCCATCCCTTGAAGACGAAGGTACCCAATATGATATCTTTGCTTGAGACTGATGATTTGCCAGGTACCCTTCAAGTTTATGGGCTCACTCACATGAAGTATTGTGATTTATTTACATGCTAATTTACTAGTAATCAGCTATTCCTCAGAAAAAGGCATGCTTGCAGAACTGAATTGGACATACCAATCTTAGACTATTATGAGATTGTTTAAATTTCAAGAGACCTGAGTGCTAATCTTTCTTTACCTGTAAATATGTAACTTAGAGAAGATCAATGAAATTAACTGAATCAATTACTTTTTTGAAGTTCTACAATTTACGATGTATTTTGTTTTGTCTTTAAGTATTTTCTGCTTTCAATACTGCAAATACCAGATCAATTGCAAATTGCAAATACCACATCAGCTTCATTAGAAGACAGACTATCATATAAAATTGTAAAGCATCGATAGCTATCTGCCTGATACTTCATTCTCGTAATTCAATTTTTGTATTTGGTCAGAATCAAGAATGTAGTTTCAGGTTGCAATAGGATAAAAATGGTGCATACAGAGGTAGAGCTTGCTTTTAGTCAATAAACATTCTTTATTATTTTGATCAGCTTTAATCTACATTAATATTACACCTAATAATGGGAGACTTTAACACCCCACTGTCAACATTAGACAGATCAACGAGACAGAAACTTAACAAGGATATCCAGGATTTGAACTCAGGTCTGCACCAAGTGGACCTAATAGACATCTACAGAACTCTCCACCCCAAATCAACAGAATATACATGCTTCTCAGCACCACACCCCACTTATTCCAAAATTGACCACTTATTTAGAAGTAAAGCACTCCTCAGCAAATGTAAAAGAACAGAAATTATAACACACTGTCTCTCAGACCACAGTGCAATCAAACTAGAACTCAGGATTAAGAAATTCACTCAAAACCGCTCAACTACATGGAAACTGAACAACCTGCTCCTGAATGACTACTGGGTACATAATGAAATGAAGGCAGAAATAAAGATGTTCTTTGAAACCAATGAGAACAAAGACACAACATACCAGAATCTCTGAGACACATTCAAAGCAGTGTTTAGAGGGAAATTTATAGCACTAAATGCCCACAAGAGAAAGCAGGAAAGATCTAAAATTGACACCCTAACATCACAATGAAAAGAACTAGAGAAGCAAGGGCAAATACATTCAAAAGCTAGCAGAAGGCAAGAAATAACTAAGATCAGAGCAGAAGTGATGGAAATAGAGACACAAAAAACCCTTCAAAAAATCAGTGAATCCAGGAGCTGGTATTTTGAAAAGATCAACAAAATTGATAGACGGCTAGCAAGACAAAGAAGAAAAGGGAGAAGAATCAAATAGATGCAATAAAAAATGATACAGGGGATATCACCACTGATCCCACAGAAATACAAACTACCATCAGAGAATACTATAAACACCTCTACGCAAATAAACTAGAAAATCTAGAAGAAATGGATAAATTCCTCGACACATACACCCTCCCAAGACTAAACCAGGAAGAAGTTGAATCTCTGAATAGACCAATAACAGGCTCTGAAATTGAGGCAATAATTAATAGCTTACCAACCAAACGAAATCCATGACCAGATGGATTCACAGCTGAATTCTACCAGAGGTACAAGGAGGAGCTGGTACCATTCCTTCTGAAACTATTCCCATCAATAGAAAAAGAGAGAATCCTCCCTAACTCATTTTATGAGGCCAGCATCACCCTGATACCAAAGCCTGGCAGAGACACAACAAAAAAAGAGAATTTTAGACCAATATCCCTGATGAACATCGATGCAAAAATCCTCTATAAAATACTGGCAAACCGAATCCAGAAGCACATCAAAAAGCTTATCCACCATGATCAAGTTGGCTTCATCCCTGGGATGCAAGGCTGGTTCAGCATACGCAAATCAATAAACGTAATCCAGCATATAAACAGAACCAAAGACAAAAACCATATGATTATCTCAATAGATGCAGAAAAGGTCTTTGACAAAATTGAACAACGCTTCAGGCTAAAAACTCTCAATAAATTAGGTATTGATGAGACGTATCTCAAAATAATAAGAGCTATCTATGACAAACCCACAGCCAATATCATACTGAATGGACAAAAACTGGAAGCATGTTCTTTACAAACTGGCACAAGACAGGGACGCCCTCTCTCACCACTTCTATTCAACATAGTGTTGCAAGTTCTGGCCAGGGCAATCAGGCAGGAGAAGGAAATAAAGGGTGTTCAATTAGCAAAAGAGGAAGTCAACCTGTCCCTGTTTCCAGATGACATGATTGTATATCTAGAAAACCCCATTGTCTCAGCACCAAAATCTCCTTAAGCTGATAAGCAACTTCAGCAAAGTCTCAAGATACAAAATCAATGTGCAAAAATCACAGGCATTCTTACATAACAATAACAGACAAACAGAGAGCCAAATCATGAGTGAACTCCCATTCACAATTGCTTCAAAGAGAATAAAATACGTAGGAATCCAACTTACAAGGGACATGAAGGACCTCTTCAAGGAGAACTACAAACCACTGCTCAATGAAATAAAAGAGGATACAAACAAATGGAAGAACATTCCATGGATAGGAATAATCAATATCGTGAAAATGGCCATACTGCCCAAGGTAATTTATAGATTCAATGCCATCCCCATCAAGCTACCAATGAATTTCTTCACAGAATTGGAAAAAACTACTTTAAAGTTCATATGGAACCAAAAAACAGCCCACATTGCCAAGACAATCCTAAGCCGAAAGAACAAAGCTGGAGGCATCACGCTACCTGACTTCAAACTATACTACAAGGCTACAGTCACCAAAACAGCATGGTACTGGTAGCAAAACAGAGATATGGACCAAAGGAACAGAACAGAGCCCTCAGAAGTAATGCCCCATATCGACAACCATCTGATCTTTGACAAACCTGACAAAAACAAGAAATGGGGAAAGGATTCCCTGTTTAATAAATGGTGCTGGGAAACCTGGCTAGCCATATGTAGAAAGCTGAAACTGGATCCCTTCCTTGTACCTTATACAAAAATTAATTCAAGATGGATTAAAGACTTACTTGTTAGACCTGAAACCATAAAAACCCTAGAAGAAAACCTAGGCAATACCATTCAGGACATAGGCATTGGCAAGGACTTCATGTCTAAAACACCAAAAGCAATGGCAACAAGAGCCAAAATTGACAAATGGGATCTAATTAAACTCAAGAGCTTCTGCACAGCAAAAGAAACTACCATCAGAGTGAACAGGCAACCTACAGAATGGGAGAAAATTTTTGCAACCTACTCATCTGACAAAAGGCTAATATCTAGAATCTACAATGAACTCAAACAAATTTACAAGAAAAAAACAACCCCATCAAAAAGTGGGCAAAGGATATGAACAGACACTTCTGAAAAGAAGACATTTATGCAGCCAAAAAACACATGAAAAAATGCTCATCATCACTGGCCACCAGAGAAATGCAAATCAAAACCACAATGAGATACCATCTCACACCAGTTAGAATGGTGATCATTAAAAAGTCAGGAAACAACAGCTGCTGGAGAGGATGTGGAGAAATAGGAACACTTTTACACTGTTGCTGGGACCGTAAACTAGTTCAACCATTGTGGAAGTCAGTGTGGCGATTCCTCAGGGACCTTGAACTAGAAATTCCATTTGACTCAGCCATCCCATTACTGGGTATATACCCAAAGGATTATAAATCATGCTGCTATAAAGATACATGCACATGTATGTTTACTGTGGCACTATTTACAATAGCAAAGACTTAGAACCAACCCAAATGTCCAACAATGATAGACTGGATTAAGAAAATGTGGCACATATATACCATGAAATGCTATGCAGCCATAAAAAATGATGAGTTCATGTCCTTTGTAGGGACATAGATGAACCTGGAAACCATCATTCTCAGCAAACTATCACAAGGACAGAAAACCAAACACTGCATGTTCTCACTCATAGGTGGGAACTGAACAATGAGAACACATGGACACAGGAAGGGGAACATCACACACCAGGGCCTGTTGTGGGGTGGGGGGAGGGGGAGGGATAGCATTAGGAGATCTTCCTAATGTTAAATGACGAGTTAATGGGTGCAGCACACCAATATGGCACATGTATACATATGTAACTCACCTGCACGTCATACACACGTACCCTAAAACTTAAAGTATAATAATAAATAAAAAAATAAAAATATTATACCTAATTAGTGACTGTCAAGTAATGTGTATAGATTAGAGAATTACCTCCAGAATCTGACTTTCTTAGGATACACTAGGTAAGTTACTGAATTTCTGAACTAAAATGGATGCTATAGCCCACTTGAAACTATAACTGAGTGTTTACAGCAACAATGAAACAGACCAAGATTATCTGGAATGCTTTGAAATACAAATGACTTTGTATCTGGGTCAGATAGCTTATTCTGTTCAACCCAGTTTTAACGGAATTCACTTAGAGTTCAATCCTATAATGCTATACTGCATATATCAAAATCATATCTTTTAGTTAATACTCTGGCATGTCAATCACACATTTAGCAAGATTCTAATCTCTATGCAAACATAAGATCAGGATTTTATGGGCAGAAATGAATTTTAATACAAAGTTTGTTAAAACTTTATCGTATTTTTTTTCTCCTTTGGTTTATCTGACAGTGAGGGTTAACTTTTGAGACTATTTAAAATTGGAATTATCCATGAAGATATAAGCCTGCTGAGAAGAGATAACATCTACTTCTCTGTTCCAAACAGAAAATGATTCTTAGCACTCAATAAATGTTAAATTAGGAATAATAAATGCACATAAAGTCTGAATGAAAAATGTTGCTGAATGCGTATCTATTTATTGATTCAATCTCCTTAGTACTTCCTTGTTGAAGAATGCTTTATAAACTTACACCAAGATTATACCAGAAAGATAAAATTATAGAAAAGGTGGAAGATTATACAAAGGAAAGGAAATACAGCCCCTGAATGTGCAAAGCAGGAAACTGCTTTTGGTAAAATTTTATGTGTATCCTAAAACTACACAGTAAATTTGTTAGCAAATTTGAAAAGAATCTCTAGTAAGTTTAAACTCACTTATTATAGATAAGTACTATAAAATGGCTCAATTCAGCAGAAGTCTTTTACACAAAACAAATGAAATTATTAAGACTAACTTCGAAGCGGGTATATAAAAGCAACCGGGAGAAAGTTCCCAGGAGCCTTTTTCAGTAGATTAAACATATGTCATGGTCACGGAGCTTTAAAGCAGAACTTTACTTCTACTGGAGAAATCAAATCAGTGACACTGAAGGTCACTCCTAATCAGAAAAAAAAGAAAAGAAAAAACATGAGTGAGACATAAGACAGGCTGGTGATCCAAACAATTTAACTGGGAAAGCAAGATAACAAAAGGAAATAAAAGAATCTCTTGTAGAAGAGAACTATCCTGAGCTGAATAAATCTATGTGATTACTCATTATCAACAAAATTATATTTGAAATGGACTAATATCTTTAAATATCTTGGTGACAGTTTTAGTTTCAGGAACAAAAAAAACCTAGGTATACCCAATTTGAAAAATCAAAATAGTTTGAAATAAAAATATTGCACACTAATTAAAAAAACCAGAATGACTTCAAAATTCTTTCTTTCATAAAAAAAAGTTGAAGAAAATATTGTTCAGAAGTAAAAGCACTTGCATCTGGTTTGTTTTCTCCTTTCCAAGAGCAGATAAGATTGCAGTTTTACACCTGCCTAAATGTTGTTCAAGCGAGTTGTGATAAAATAAAATATTCATATATATAAAGATATAGATGACAGAGATATAGATATCTCCCTTAAAGTGATGCTAGTGGAAATGCAATGCACACAGCACTGCTGGTCTGGGACATGACAAGTATAGAAACCGAGTATAAATTGAGAATATGCATTCAGACCTTTAATAGCATTGCCATGACATCCAAGCACACAATTGTATGTTTTAACAAAAATGAGTGCAATGAAATGGAAAATAGAAATAAATTTACTCTTTACTGCAGAGGAACTCTACCATAAAAGATAGAGTGGGTCTTATAATGCAACTCTAAAGACATTCCAAATATGCAAAAATATGAGGGAGATATATGTTGACTGAGGACCTCGTATTAAAACAAATGATATAACATTGAGAATTCTGTCAGAATAGTATAATTATAAGAACTTGAAAATCCAAATAACTTTAACTCAAATAAAAAACAGCTTTCTCCCACCCACCTACCAATCTCTCTCTCTTTCAAGAAATCTGAAAAGGTCAGCCATCCAGGGCTGGAAGAGAGATTCCTCAGTCATCACAGATCAGGTCTCGCTGTGTCTTTCTTCTTTATTATCCTTAGAATAAGGCCTCCATTCCTCCATTCTTAAGGAGGATGATGGGAAGGGCAAAATGTTGCCTGCCTCCCAGCTGAGTCAGCCCCTTTAAAAATAACTTTCTGGAATCATTACCTCGAAGATTTTCTTAGCCAGATGTGTCTTGATTTATGGGCTTATGTTCAGATAAACTCATCATAAATTCAAAATACCATTAAGTAGAAAATGCATTAAATATACCTGTATATTGAATCGAATCGATTCTCACCCCAGCTTCCTGTTTTCAGCCTCACCTTTGTCCCTACTTACAGAAGTACCTGGTGAATTCTAATTCTAGTGCCTCTTTATCTGCTGGTGCAAATTAGCTTGTTTCTTGGCTCTCTTACTTGCTTTATTAAAACCTCTTGTTCATCTACTTTCCAACTCTCAGAAGTCTGCTGCAATCCCATTCAATGTTTCGTGTGTGTGTGTGTGTGTGTGTGTGTGTGTGTGTGTGACAGAGACAGATACAGAGAGAGCTGTTTCAGGAGAAAGTGGAAGTAAAACCATTTCCTATATAGTCCTTAACAATTCTTTCACAATTCTGCAGCTAACTTATATTCATAGCTTAGGTCACACTTTAAGACATTTTTGTTTTTAGATAGGCACGCCCTGGCCTCCCATTCTGACCTAGACTCCCACATACTATTTTTTTGTCTCACAGAAATCTGCTCCTTCCGTTCCTTACACTTAACCATAGTTATTAATATTTTATTCTGTTTTGTTTAGCCTTTATAAGCTGTAAACTTGGTGGTAGGAGAATTCCAGCTGAGATTTGGAGACTGCAGGTTCCTCTCCATCCCAGCCCGAAGGAGGTGGTTAATACTGTTTTATTTATTTAATATTGAGAAGAATCAACTAAATGAGAGTGGTTACAGAAACTTTTAGGAATGAAAAGATAAAACAAATCAGCAGACACTTTTCTCTGCCTACACTAATCAAATGTCTATAAATTAAGATATGTGCAACGAAGAAGTATAAAATTATTCAGACATGTATTTAAAGTATTATTTCTTTATTGTGCCTTGAAAATTATAATACTTGTTTTCATTTCTTCACCAAACATACAATGTAAGTTGGGTGCGGTGGCTCATGCCTGTAATCCCAGCACTTTGGGAGGCCAAGGCAGGTGGATCACCCGAGGTCAGGAGTTGTAGACCAGCCTGGCCAACATAGTGAAACCCTGTCTCTACGAAAAATAAAAAAATTAGCCGGGAATGGTGGCACACACCTGTAATCCCAGCTACTCTGGAGGCTGAAGCAGGAAAATCAATTGAACCCAGGAGGCGGAGGTTGCAGTGAGCCGAGATCCTGCCATTGCACTCCAGCCTGGGTGACAAGTGTGAAACACCGTCTTAAAAAAAAAAATACAATGTATGCACATAGTAAAATTTTAGCAAACCCAACAGTACAAAATGTAGAGTGCAATGTAAAAGTCCTGCTTTTCAATACATCTCTATCCCTAGAAACAGATTCTGTTTAGAGTTTCTTAATCAGTTTTGCAGGACTTTCTGTTTACACACTATGACTGCCTCTCCCTGTGGTCTCATTGGCACTATTCTCTTAGGTATTTTTGGACTTAATCCTAGAATTAGAAGGATTTTTTGATAAGTAGCATGAAAGTAGAAAAGGTCCTTGACTGGAAGTAAAAAGCAAGAGTCTCTCCCAATTTTCTGTGTCCTGAGTCTACTGGCGGACATAGGAATCATGCTACCTTTTCCCACCCCAGCCCCAAATATCTCAGTGTTTGTTAAAACGATTTCAGCAGATTTTGTATTTCCTTCCTTCCTTCTTTACTTCCTCCTCCCCTTCAACCTTTCCCTCCTCTTCATCCTCTCCCCCCCTTCCTCCTCCTCTTCTTCCTCTTCTCTTTCTTCAATAAATACGTTAACCATTTTTTAAGAAAGTCATAGTTTAATAGTTTGGCATGGAAGGACAGCACGAGAATCTGACAATGTACTTTCTGTAAAAGGACTTCATATCGACGCATACAGGGCTCTGATCTGGTATGTAAAACTTACATTTCTATGAAAATTGATACTCTTGCAGAATATGACATCCAAGCACACAACTGTATGTTTTAACAAAATACTGCAAGCACTCCCTTATTCACTCCAGCTGGTTTCTCATTAGGTCATGTGCCCACTATGTCCATTGGTAATGAGCTCAGCACAGGCCAAGGAGTTGCCTAGGAGTGGCAGTCCTTACGGCCTAAACTGCCTTTCAAGTTTACCTAAGACCCAAGAGCACTTTAGTTTATGTGGCAAGTCTTGTTGGAACTCAAGTTCCAACCACTGCGATGGCTGACTACCCTCTTGGTAGCGCTGGTCCAAATGCACCCTCCATGAGTGGGTAACTCATAGAAGAAATGTCTAAGCAGCAAAGCATTCAAGAGGTGACTTGGGTGCTGTTCAAGGCATTCAGTTTTAAAAGGCAAACAGAGCATATAAGTTTGGAAAATTTGCAGCCTGTAAATATGATAGAAAAGAAAATCCCATTTTATGAGGAGAAATTCAAGGTGGCTGCAGAAATTAGCATAAGTAATGACAAGCCAAATGTTAATCCCTAAGACAATGGGGAAAATATCTCCAGGGCATGTAAGAGGTCTTCACCGCAGCCCCTCCCATCACAGGCCTGGAGGTTTAGGAGGAAAACATGGCTTCTTGGACTAGGCCCAGGGTCCCTATGCTGTGTGCAGCCTACAGACTTCATGCCCTGCATCGTTGCCGCTCCAGATGTGGCTCAAAGGGGCCAAGAAAGACATTGGGCTGTGGCTTCAGAGGGTACAAGCCTCAAGCCTTGGCAGCTTTCAGGTGGTGTTGAGCCTGAGTGCACACAGAAATCAAGAATTGGGGTTTGGGAACCTACAAGTAGATTTCAGAGGCGTATGAAAATGCCTGGATGTCCAGGCAGAAGTTTGCTGCAGGGGCAAGGCCCTCATGGAGAACCTCTGCTAGGGCAGTATAGAAGGGAAATGTGGGGTACAAGCCCCCACACAGAGTCCCTACAGGGGCACCACTTAGTGGAGCTGTGAGAAGAGGGCCACTGTCCTCCAGACCCAGAATGGTGGATCCACTGAAAGCTTGCACCATGCACCTGGAAAAGCTGCAGACACTCAATGCCAGCCCATGAAAGCACCCAGCAAGGAGGCTGTACCCTGAAAAGCCATAGGGGCAGAGCTGCCCAAGACCATGGGAACCCACCTCTTGCATCAGTGTGACTTGGATTTGAGGTTTGGACTCACAGGAGATCATAGTGGAGCCTTAAGATTTGACTTTTCTACTGGATTTCAGACTTGCATGGGGCCTGTAGCCCCTTTGTTTTGGTAAATTTCTCCCATTTGGAACAGCTGTATGCTGTACCCCTATACCCCTATTGTATCTAGGAAGTAACTAACTTGCTTTTAATTTTACAGGCTCAAAGGCAGAAGGGGCTTGCCTTGTCTCAAATGAGACTTTGGACTGTGGACTTCTGAGTTAATACTGAGTTTTGGGGCACCGATGGGAAGTCATGATTGGTTTTGCAATGTGAGGACATGAGATTTGGGAGGGGTCAAGGCAGAATGATATGGTTTGTCTGTGTCCCCACAAAAATCTTATCTTGAATTCCCATGTGTTGTAAGAGGGAGGTAACTGAACCAATTGAAAGACCTGGGGGCAGGTCTTTCCCATGCTGTTCTCATGATAGTAAATAAGTCTCACAAAATCTGATGGTGTTATAAGGGGGGTTTCCCTGCACAAGCTGTCTTCTCTTGTCTGCCACCATGTGAGATGTGCCTTTCACCTTCTGTCATGATTGTGACGCCTCCCCAGCCATGTGGAATTTTAAGTCCATTAAATCTCTTTCTTTTGTAAACTGTCCAGTCTCAGGTATGTCTTTATCAAAATCATGAAAGCAGAGTAATAAAGACGTGAGGGTTACATGTGCACATAATTAGAAATACAATTGAAAATTCAAAAGATAACAAAATAACATTTTAGTAAAATAAGTAATATTTTAGCATAAACTTCAAAATAATAAGAATAATCTGTGTCTCTTTTTTCCAGAAAAAATCTTAATGAAGTACTAGTCTTTAAATAATCAAGGAACAGACAAATTTTATAAAAAGAAGATAATTATACCAATATTCATAATTTATGTAACATTTTTTATTTTCTTTACTTCTAACTCAAATTTATATTTTCAAAAATTACACTTTAAAATGATAAACAAGTTAAGGTTGTAAAAATCTGTAGACTGTGTGGTTAGTTGTGACTGACTTTAATTTTTGACTTTCTATCTGGAAGATTTTGGGAACTTGTGAAGCTTTTGGGGGCTACTATAGATCTTCAAGATGATGCACTAGTGCTTATAGCACAATAAAGGCCTGTATTAGACTGTCAGGAAAGGGGAGTTACCATTGTTATTATTGTTATTGTTTTGGTTGTTATGATGATTATTATTAGGTTAGTTAGGGCCCCAGAAATTAGGAAAAGGAGGGGTAATGAGGAGAAGACATGAAAGAGTAGAAAATCCTTTCATGGAGAAGAGTGTTGTAAAAGAACTACACTTGAAGCCATAAAAATTTAACTCTAATTTGAGAGCCAACAGTTTGAATTATAATAAATGTTATTTTGAGAATATAAACATGATCTCTAATGCATATGCTCTTTCAAAGTAGATACAGAGATGATTAGTAGTTCTATAATCATCAGTTACTTTGATCTATATATCTACTGTATCAAGGCAGAATAGTGGCCCCCTATAGACATCTATGCCCTAATCCTTACAAGGAAAAAGAACTTTGCAGATGTAATTAAGACTATGACCTTGAGATGGAAAAAGTATCCTGGATTATTTCAGTGGGCCCAATTAAATAACATAAGTCCTTAAAAGCAAAAGATGGGAGCCAAAGTATCAACTAGAGAGATGTACATAAGGACTCAATCCATCACTTGGAAAATGGAGGCTTGGAAGACAGAGGAAGCAGGCCAAAGCAGGAGGGACCTCTAGAAACCAGGAAAAGCCCTTGGCCAACAGCCATCCAGAAAACAAGACTTCCTCTGTGCAAGAAACTGAATTCTGCCAACAACAAAAAGATTAAATTAACAGATTCTCTTCTGGAGCCTCCAGAAAGAAATGCAAACTTGCCAGCACCTTCATTTTAGTTCACTAAGACCTATGTCTGACTTCTGATTAACAGAAGCATAGGACAGTGAACTGTGTGGTTTAAATTGCTAAGTTTGTGGTAATTTGTTATGGAAGAAATAGAAAAGTAATACATCTATGATTGGAAAAAATTACATAGATACCTAAACACTGCTGTACTTTAATACCATATTAAAATCACTGATCCAGAACTTCAGGTTATATTTATTGGAGGACAAATCTTGGCAGTGTTAATATGCTTATACCAAAATAAAAATTGTACTGGACACGTTTCAACATTTGGCATACAAAAATGCTAAAATGTTTATAAGCAATAATGCAAAAAGTTATAGCATCTTCACAATTTATTCTATGAAACCATAATTGTCATTCTTTTAAAATAATCAAACACTTTTTAAGATTTAATGTACATATGTCTTTAAAGGTTGACAGTTGAACAGTTATGGAAGGCACTAAATTTTATAGAGAATATAATATTTTGAAATATACCATTTCTTAAAACCACATTCAGATTAATAAATGACTGAATTTTCAAAGATCAGATGGTTGTAGATATGCGGCATTATTGCTCAGGGCTCTGTTCTGTTCCATTGGTCTATATCTCTTTTGGTACCAGTACCATGCTGTTTTGGTTACTGTAGCCATGCGGTATAGTTTGAAGTCAGGTAGTGTGATGCCTCCAGCTTTGTTCTTTTGGCTTAGGATTGACTTGGCGATGTGGGCTCTTTTTTGGTTCTATATGAACTTTAAAGTAGTTTTTTCCAATTCAGTGAAGAAAGTCATTAGTAGCTTGATGGGGATTTCACTGAATCTATAAATTACCTTGGGCAGTTGGCCATTTTCACGATATTGATTATTCCTACCCATGAGCATGGAATGTTCTTCCATTTGTTTGTATCCTCTTTTATTTCATTGAGCAGTGGTTTGTAGTTCTCCTTGAAGAGGTCCTTCACATCCCTTGTAAGTTGGATTCCTAGGTATTTTATTCTCTTTGAAGCAATTGTGAATGGGAGTTCACTCATGATTTGGCGCTCTGTTTGTCTGTTATTGCTGTATAAGAATGCTTGTGATTTTTGCACATTGATTTTGTATCCTGAGACTTTGCTGAAGTTGCTTATCAGCTTAAGGAGATTTTGGGCTGAGACAATGGGGTTTTCTAGATATACAATCATGTCATCTGCAAACAGGGACAATTTGACTTCCTCTTTTCCTAATTGAATACCCTTTATTTCCTTCTCCTGCCTGATTGCCCTGGCCAGAACTTCCAACACTATGTTGAATAGGAGTGGTGAGTGAGGGCATCCCTGTCTTGTGCCAGTTTTCAAAGGGAATGCTTCCAGTTTTTGCCCATTCAGTGTGATATTGGCTGTGGGTTTGCCATAGATAGCTCTTATTATTTTGAAATACGTCCCATCAATACCTAATTTATTGAGTTTTTAGCATGAAGCATCGTTGAATTTTGTCAAAGGCCTTTTCTGCATCTATTGAGATAATCATGTGGTTTTTGTCTTTGGTTCTGTTTATATGCTCGATTACATTTATTGATTTATGTATGTTAAACCAGCCTTGCATCCCAGGGATGAAGCCAACTTGATCATGGTGGATAAGCTTTTTGATGTGCTTCTGGATTCGGTTTGCCAGTATTTTATTGAGGATTTTTGCATCAGTGTTCATCAAGGATAATGGTCTAAAATTCTCTTTTTTTGTTGTGTCTCTGCCAGGCTTTGGTATCAGGATGATGCTGGCCTCATAAAATGAGTTAGGGAGAATCCCTCTTTTTCTATTGATTGGAATAGTTTCAGAAGGAATGGTACTCCTTGCACCTCTGGTAGAATTCGGCTGTAAATCCATCTGGTCGTGGACTTTTTTTGGTTGGTAAGCTACTGATTATTGCCACAATTTCAGAGCCTGTTATTGGTCTATTCAGAGATTCAAATTCTTCCTGGTTTAGTCTTGGGAGGGTGTATGTGTCGAGGAATTTATCCATTTCTTCTAGATTTTCTAGTTTATTTGCATAGAGGTGTTTGTAGTATTCTCTGATGGTAGTTTGTATTTCTGTGGGATCAGTGGTGATATCCCCTGTATCATTTTTTATTGCATCTATTTGATTAAACCTGACAAAAACAAGCAATGGGGAAAGGATTCCCTATTTAATAAATGGTGCTGGGAAAACTGGCTAGCCATATGTAGAAAGCTGAAACTGGATCCCTTCCTTACACCTTATACAAAAATTAATTCAAGATGGATTAAAGACTTACATGTTAGATCTAAAACCATAAAAACTCTAGAAGAAAACCTACGCAAACCATTCAGGACATAGACATGGGCAAGGACTTCATGTCTATAACACCAAAAGCAATGGCAACAAAAGCCAAAATTGACTAATGGCATCTAATTAAACTCAAGAGCTTCTGCACAGCAAAAGAAACTACCATCAGAGTGAACAGGCAACCTACAAAATGAGAGAAACTTTTCGCAACCTACTCCTCTGAGAAAGGGCTAATATACAGAATCTACAATGAACTCAAACAAATTTACAAGGAAGAATCAAACAACCCCATCAAAAAGTTGGCAAAGGATATGAACAGACACTTCTCAAAAGAAGACATTTATGCAGCCAAAAGACACATGAAAAAATGCTCATCATCACTGGCCACCAGAGAAATGCAAATCAAAACCACAATGAGATACCATCTCACACCAGTTAGAATGGCGATCATTAAAAAGTCAGGAAACAACAGCTGCTGCAGAGGATGTGGAGAAACAGGAACACTTTTACACTGTTGGTGGGACTGTAAACTAGTTCAACCCTTGTGGAAGTCAGTGTGGCAATTCCTCAGGGATCTAGAACTAGAAATACCATTTGACCCAACCATCCCATTACTGGGTATATACCCAAAGGATTATAAAACATGCTGCTATAAAGACACATGCACACGTATGTTTATTGCGGCACTATTCACAATAGCAAAGACTTGGAACCAACCCAAATGTCCAACAACAATAGACTGGATTAAGAAAATGTGGCACATATACACCACGGAATACCATGCGGCCATAAAATTATGATGAGTTCATGTCCTTTGTAGGGACATGGATGAAACTGGAAACAATCATTCTCAGCAAACTATCATAAGGACAAAAAACCAAACACTGCATGTTCTCACTCATAGGTGGGAATTGAACAATGAGAACACATGGACACAGGAAGGGGAACATCACATTATCACACTCTAGGGACTGTTGTGGGGTGGGGGGAGGGGGGAGGGATGGCATTAGGAGATATACCTAATGCTAAATGATGAGTTAATGGGTGCAGCACACCAACGTGGCACATGTATACATATGTAATAAACCTGCACGTTGTGCACATGTACCCTAAGACTTAAAGTATAATAATAATAAAATTTTAAAAAAATAAAAATAAAAGAATAAATGACTGAATTTTCTCCTG
Source organism: Homo sapiens (assembly GCF_000001405.40). Lineage (NCBI taxonomy): Eukaryota > Metazoa > Chordata > Mammalia > Primates > Hominidae > Homo > Homo sapiens. The sequence continues at coordinate 16,431,707 of NC_000008.11, forward strand.
ATCCAGTTAATTTCCAAATTTAAGTGCATATATATATATGTATATATAAATATATATGCACACAAACACACACACACACATACATATATGAAGTAAGATGAAATTCATGTGAATCATTTGGCTTCATTTTAGACATTTAAAGCAAGAGTTATTATCATTGAAGAATTTAGTGCTTCTTAACTAAAATTTCAAAGACTCAAAGAATAAACTCTAATTTTACTAACAAATTGTGTTTTTTAAGAAAATGTTTAAAATTTAACCTAAAAATTAAGCATAACAAAAAAATTATAAATATTTCCAAAGTATTTTCATGTCATCAAAATATTTTGGCTGGGCTCTGTGGCTTACACCTGTAACATCAGCACTTTGGGAGGCCAAGGTGGGAGGATAACTTGAGCCTAGGAGTTGAAGACCAGATTGGGCAAGATAGTGAGATTTTGTCTCTACAAAAAATAAATAAAAAAATTAGCCAGGCATGGTGGTGAGCACCTGTTATCCCAGCTGCTGAAGAGGCTGAGTTGGGAGGATTGCTTGAGCCTGGGAATTAGGTTGCAGTGAAGTGTGATTGCACCACTGCACTCCAGTCTTGACAATAGAGTGAAACCCTGTCCTCTCAACCACCAAAAGAAAAAGAAAAAAGAATCTGGAGTTTAAATGTATCTTAAAAGTCACCAGGTCTAACATTTTCCTTCTACAATGCCTGCAATAGATGGTCTCTAACCTCTGACTGAATACCTCCAGCAAAGGTCAAGTGTTATGCAAATGTATATGTTGTTTTTTAATCATTGTAATTATTTGAAAGTACAAACTAATACGCATCAAAACCTGATGATTGGCTCTACATTCATTTTTTAAAATCTATGCAAATATGCGAATATGCTACTAAAGAGTTAATTTTGGCCAAGTCCAAATCACCCATCTGATTTCCAAATACTGATGAGGGAGAACATAATGTAACAACTTCTTTTTGACTCTGTCCATTTCCAGACACTAAGCTAGGCTTTTACCATATTTTAATTCATTAAATAGTCTTGCAAATCATTAGATGAAATCAATCAGTAAATTCTTTCATGAAATGTTAGTGGACTTCCAGAATCAATGCCTCCCGAAGAATTGAGACCTTAATTGTTACTGGTTTACTGGCAGGATCTGGCTGATAATATTTTTCCAAGCAGTCCTAAACTTCAGTCTTATTGTTCATCATTTCACATTGCTTACTTATGATTCAGATATTACTGATTGGCAAATTTTGTTTTATTTTATAGACAATCGTCCCTATAAAGTATATAAAAGTAAACGCTACATGAAAGGGTACAATTAGATGTTTTTATGATGATTTATTTTGTTGGAAGAAAGCTTTTGAAGCATCTGTTAACCAGACTTTCTTGGTTAACATTACAAGATGGCAGAGAGATCACAGGTACTCTCCCTATTCAATCTCCACTGAACTGGCACAACTATTTAAATCCCTAACAAAGCACAAGTTACACTGAGTAAACATCGGTATCGATGAGCTTTTTAAAGACAGGCAGTGGGTGACTTATGTTGATGTATTCATCAACACAATAGTCACCAGGCTGAACACATGCATGAAAGAACGTGCCTCAGAGCAAGAAGTCTTTTTTCTCTGTAAAGCACAGACAAGTTTCTAGGTCAGAGCCAAGTCAGTAAACACACACAACAGAATAGCTTGCAACAGTAAAGGAGAGTAGTACTGAAATCTTCCTTAACAAGTGAAAAACACCACAGACATAGTGGCAAAACAGACCCCAACACAGTAATCATCTTCCTGTTCTTACGGATTCTGACAGTGAGTTAAAAATTTGGAGAGTGTTACCTTGTCTCTGCTCTGCAATATCTGGGGCCTTAGCTGAAAAGATTCTAAATTTGAAGCTAACTCAATGACTGGGGTAACTCAAAAAATAGAAGGGATTCCACAGTCAGGGGCTGGCATTATGCAAAGCCTCACTTACATGACTGATGGTTGATACCAGCTATCAACTGGGAGCTCAGTTGTTACTGCTGGCTGTAACACCTATACATAGGCTCTCCATGTGGTTACGTGGGCTTCCTCACAGCATGGTGGTGAAGTTCCAAGAATGAGTGTCCCAAGAAGAAACAGATTGCACTCCAGCCTCGGCAACAAGAGCCAAACTCCGCCTCAAAAAAAAAAAGAACTTGTACAACTTCTTATGACCTAGCCTAAGAAGTCATATCTGCCACCCAGATTCAAGACAAGGAATCACAGAATCCATTTTTAGTGAAAAGAGTTAAAATCACATTATATGAAGAATGGGAGATATTGTTATTGTTGTATTTATAAAATAAAGTCTGCTACAGGTAATTTATTAAAGAACTATGTAAGATTAGCTGTCAGTTTAAGTTTCCCTCTACTCCAGCCACACAGCAAAATCTGCTGAAAAAATGAAAGGAAGTTTGTTCTGTCCAGAAGCAAAAGGAGCATTCAAGTCAAAATATTCAGCTCATTAACCCGGATCTCACACTCAGACCTCTCTTTGAGGAGAATGAATGAGTGTGAGATCAGATCTACACACTCAAAGTGGAAACCTATTCCAGAGGATTTGTAATAATCAGCCTGAAACTCTATTCCTAAATATAGTTATCAGACATTTGGGGAAAATACAATACCATGAAGAGAGAAATCAAAATAAAAAGAGATGAGGAATGACTTAATAGAGAACTGAGAATTTAAAAAATGAAAGAGAACTTGAAGAAAAAAAGGAAAATGTGAAATTCCAGAGTCAAGTTAATATGGCATATATTAAACAGAAATAAGATGCAATGAACAAGCAGTGGTCCAAAAACAAGATGGAATAATTCAAAATTTTAAAATAACTTATAAAAGTAACAAATATAAAAAATAATTTGAATAAGACGACATACATAGGTCTAAGATAATAAGGATGTTTTCTAAGGTCATACAGCTAAAAACTCTGGTTGGTGAAGCAGATTTAAATGCAAGTCTAATGGAATCAACCCAAATGCCCATCAATGATAGACTGGATTATGAAAATGTGGGACATATACATCATGGAATACTATGCAGCCATAAAAAGGAATGAGATCATGTTCTTTGCAGGGACATGGATGAAGCTGTAAGCCATCATCCTCAGCAAACTAACACCAGAACAGAAAAACAAACACCACATGTTCTCACTCGTAAGTGGGAGCTGCACAATGGGAACACGTGGACATGGGGTGGTGGAACAAAACACACCAGGGCCTGTCAGAGGTTGGGGGGCTGGAGAGCATCAGGATAAATAGCTAATATATGTGGGGCTTAATACCTAGGTGGTGGGTTGATAGGTGCAGCAAGCCACCATGACACAAGTTACCTGCATAACAATCTTGCATGTTCTGCCCATGTATCCTGAAACCTCAAATAGAATAAAATTTAAAAAATAAAAAATTCAAAAAAATAAGAATGCAAGTCTAACTGTACCCCTTTACCTACATATACTGGGATGAAATTTAAATCAAATTTATATATTGTGTATATTAGTGTTATATGTATACTTTACAGTACATTAAAAGCATATGTATTACATACAAAAAAGGCAGGAAATTCATGCTTTATAAGAACTGCTGTATAATTTCACCATTTTAAATTATCTCTCCATTTGGTAGGGCTACAACTTTGCTTTTCTTATGTATTATTGGTTTCAACTATGAATTAGTTTTCCTTTGTCATCTGTTAAGAATACAACCTTCATTTATATTTTTCTCACTGCATAGTGAAATTATCTCCTTTATAAGTTTCTGTACGACATTGTCCACAATTATACTACTGACAAATAATTATCAACACATAATGCTGAGCACTAAAGTTACTGTGAAGAATGCATATGGGAGAAGCTGTCTCAGAGCTTGTCCTACGTATTCTGACTTCTTTGTTCTTTTCATATTAAAATACAGTTCAAATTGTGATACTGTTATATGAAACTGTCAAATTCACTTTCTGAAACGAAAATATTTTTTGTAAACATTGAATATATACAAAATCTTTGGCAATTATCATTTTTATGTTTTGCCTCTCTTCTAGCTTTTATGTTTTAAGAACACTTTATGCCTTAACTGCAATTATATTAATTATAAAATAAGTTTTGAAGATGACTTTCTATTGTTTCATCTTATTTTATCTCCATGTTGTATGTGGATTATTTGTGCTTTTTTTTTACCTTTAAGAGATCAGTGAATACTGACATTCCAGATATTTTTCATACATACATGCTTTTGAGATGTTTCTAGAAGCATTTAAATATTGACAAGTTCCCCTTCTCAACTTATGGTGGACCCATTTTCAACCACAACCTTACTCTCTTACAACTATCTGTAGGTTGACATTAACCTTCACATTTTGTTTATGTGACTTTAAAGTTCATAGTAACTTTTATATCCATTCTCAGTTGATTTTCATACCAGTCATTTAAGATGGGCAGAGCTGAGTATCCCTGTTTAAGAAGTGAGTGAGAAGGTTAGAGATGTGAGATAAATTCTTCAGATTTGTGCTTTTAGTTGAACTCCAACATGATATGTGACTATAATATTATTCTCTATATGAGCCAGTGTTCTTAATTTCAGACATTTCACATTTATTTTTAAATAAAAAATAGGCTTAATAGGGAACATGACTTATTCACAGAATTGTTTGTAAGGTGCAGGAACAGAATCTAGGCAGCACTGGGGTACCAAGGTAACTGCTGATTCCAGCACACTTAAAAAGCAACAAAATCCGAAACTGTCAACATGGCTACTGGGGCCAGAGCCATACCACGTCTCAAGACAAAGTTCAGGAAAGTGGATACTTGCCTTTCTCTCAGTGTAACTCAGCTCTGAACCAAAGCTTTGTTCCAGTGGAAACTAAATCACCTTTGGATCCCAGCTTTGGGTGCTAGAATAAATACTGACCAAGACAATCTACACTACTGACCCTTGGCTACTCCACACTTACACACAGGTTTCTTCTCATGTTTAAACTCCCAACTGCAACAACAGCATGCTCCCACATAAACAGCACAGTAAGACCTCAGACAAATTAAAGTGTGCTCATTGTTTCCATGAAAGGGAAGACCCAAAGTCATATCAGTTATTACATTTAACTCTAGGTAATGTTAATTCTCTTCTCTTCCAGTTTCGATGCCATCTTTATTTTTGTAAATTATAGACCAATTATAAAAGGTAACCACGACAAAAAAATTCAGTATAAAGTACTACAGAAATGAAAAAGAAGTATATGATTAATAATTAGGTACTACTAAGTATGATCATGCAAGAAGAATATGAGGAGCTATTACTGTTCTCATTTCTGCAACTGTTCACCAGGGTTTCATCAGTATTTATAATGTTATTCCCCCTGATCCAATCGATATTCGCTTTTTATTCTGCCTTCACCTCAGTGGGCCAGGTTTCATCCCTTATGAGGTGATCAAGTCTATATTCCTGAGGTCTGATCTCTGTGGATATGTCTGCATAGGTTTCTTTGTTTTCTCCTAATTTGTGTTCCTTGACAGAAGATGCTCAGGATTCCAGAGCTTCAATGTCCTTTCCTCACTGTGTGGAAAGCACTATATTTCACCTTGATCATCAGAATCTAGCACCCTGGCCATCATCTTGCCATTGGCTACAGTGCAAGTGGTATTATGGAGTACTTGAGAAACAAAAACCCACAACTGTGTCGTGAGCCCCTGGGCTGGCTGTGAGATAGAGTTGGGACAAAGCTCCACTTGTCAACTGATGCCTGTAAGACACAACCCTGCCTGGAAGACAACAATGGTGTTATGTACCCCCAAGTACCAGCATCATCTCAGAGCCAGTGGTCAACACCCTCCAAATATCAGCGGGCACGCTGACTCTCACAAAAGGCTCTTGGTGTCTTAAGGAAAAGATAGGAGGAAAATCTATAATAAAAACTAATGATGTTTCCACAAGAGTCTTTTTCAGAAGTACCCACATTTCCATTCACTCAAAAAGATGGGTGGAGGCTATGCAATGACTCTGATGTAAGAATTGGGTGAGGGCTCCTGACTTCCCAAGGTGGTAACTCAGTGTTAATTTTGACTTTTTTTCCCATTACACCTAGAGTTTGTACAGTTAAAAAGAATCAGAATTCAGTGAGCTTCCCATCTTTTGAGTTCTACAGACATTATGATGAATTGGCCTATAACAACGATTTTCAGAGGTCTAATCATTTCGTTCGGCACCAGAGCTGTTAACTATTACAACTACTCCCACTTTGCCTGTTGCGCTGCTACTACCTTTCTGAAGTCAGGGAGCTTGTCCCAATGGATCGTCTCCTTCCTGCATCGCTGGTTTACAAAGGACAGTCACTGAAGTGCACTGAAGGATGCTAACGTTTCTGACACCAGTGTATCTCTCAGTGTCTGGTGGATGAGAACAACCTCTAGGGATAAGGTCTGTAGCAGAAAGGAGGGATGGCAATAAATGACTGTCACACATAATAAATCTCTTCCAACATACTTACTTCTCTATGTCTTTAGATGCCTCCTTTCACAATACTAAGAATTTCTGGATCCTCCAAATCCTTTATCACAGTGTACGCCTGAGATAAGTTTCAGTTAGCCAGCAAAGCAAACAATCTGAAATATCTTCTAGCTCCCTGAGCTAGGAATTTAAATCCCATGGGATCCAGAATCTCAGGAAGAAGTGGTCAGGGTACAGCATTGAGACTAGACGCTAAAGAGGGTAGCAATTTATTCCATCATTGTTTTATAAAACATAGAGCATTAAATAATTTAACATACGTCTTAACCTAGATGGAAGGCCCAAAGAGTCAATTGTATTCCTTCATATAAACAATGAAAATATCCCTAACCCTAAGAGATACGGTTTGAGGCACAAAGAAAAATGAGATAGAGATTATATCTGCTTATTTTTCCCAGCACTTCCAAATATCACCTTTGAAATGAGAATCTGGGAGGAAAATCCCAACAACCAAAACAATTGTGAAATACATTATCTCTCTCTATATATTTGTCTGTTAGCAGGCAGCAGTAAGTCTGACAATTTTATAATTTTTATTTATTCAAAAATCTTTTTATAGAAAAGCATTGAAATTGTAGACTTAAATGGGATACAAAAAGTCCATTCACTTATTCATTTTTATTTAACAAATGTTTATTATAGGCCTACTACGCACCAAACAATACATTAACTCACAATGATCTATAGTCCTTATAGACACATTTGATAACACAGTCAATGCATAAATAATATAAAATTACAAACATAAAAGTAAAAATTGATTAGCATACAGACTAATAGAAGGAAGCCTAACTTAGGAGATACTCAAGAAAGCTTTCTCTGGGGAAATGTCATTTAATTTGAGAATTAAATGTTAGGATGAGTAAGGTTTAGCCAAGTCATGAGTTAGAGTTGTGGAAAGGGTAATTTGATTCTTTTTTTAAAAAAAATTCTAGTTTTGCACGCGCACACACACACAATGTTTTATCAGAGGTTTATTGTCTATAGTGAGAGAAAAGAATAAACAAAAGTGGAATTAGGTTGTTAAGGAGAAAGGAGATAAAACTGAGGTGTCATTTAAGTGACCATAATAATAAAAACATCATTCTCAAAACAACTGTTTATTTCATTTGAAAGCTGTGTGTGTGCTACGGAAGACAGTGCAGAATAATTCTGCCTGAACAAACAACATATCATATGAAATAAAAAAACAGTACCCATAACAGAAAAAAAAGGGCTTAATTTTGGTTCAGACCTCAGCAGCACCAACCTTTCTATTTCAGTATTCACTCAGTACATTGCATTATAAACAAAGGTGACATGTCCTCTTCTTACTTGTGATCTCTCTGCTATTTTCTGATGGATCAGATTCCTAGTAGTTTGTAGTAGTGTATCTTGCAAAAATAAAAGCATGGCAATAACACTTGCTATTCTAATAATTCTATAAACAGAATTGCTTAGAAAATTCATAATAAAATGCAAAACGAGTACTTTAATTCCATATTTCTACCTCACAAATATTAAATCTACGAGCATAGCCTTGACACCATAATCTATGCCCTCTGAAAATAAAGAGGTCATAGGCCTTTCTTGCTAGTATATAGTTTTACTCAAATTGTGTAATAAAGAATTATAGTAAGAAGTTTCAAGTTTTTAATTTTGAAGCATATAGTGTATTATCATAAATCCTTTCTTGAATTTCCCTGCAGTTGGGAATGTATTATACGTATAAAGTGTACACCTAGCAATGCCTTGTTTAAACTTTACATAATAAATACCAATGTTATTTCAAATTTGATTTTTCATTTGCTTTAAATCTCCGGATATTATGTAACCATCAAATTTGTCGAGATTGAAAAGCTGTTTGTATAGCTAGATGCATGATTACACACATAAAACTGTAGAATTTATTCATGATGATCCTAAGTGATCATCTTTATAGCTGTTTGGTTACAATAAAATAGCCATTAAAAATTATACCTGAGGTGAGTAAAATGTTCAGGGTTTCCAAAAGTCTCTGCTCTTTTCTGAACAACTTTTGCTCCTTCCATAGAATTCAATAGTACATATGCAAATAAACCATTATGGCGTGCTGCTGCGTTAGGAATTTATATACTACTATTTCCTTTCAATTCATGTAGTACTTATCTCCAAAAACTGGAACCATTAACTTTTTTTCTTTTAAAAAATCTTTTTTTTTTATCATTAATTTGAGATCTTTCTAGCTTTTCAAGGTCAGTGTTTAGTGCTATAAACTGTCTTTCTAACACTGTTTTCACTGCATCCCAGTGATTTTGGTATGCTATGTCTCTGTTTTCATTTATTTCAATGAATTTTTTTTTCTAAGTGCCTATCATGTATAGCAGATACAGTGCTAGCTGCAAAACCACTTAATTGCAACTTGACTCATACAGGAATCTTTCTAGAGAAAATTTACAAAGATTTAAACTGTTCTTGCTCTAGCCAGTGCAGCTAAGCATCAGAAACTTTATGATGGGACTCACTTGTGATCTTACTATCCCCCCATTCTACTTCTAAAATTATGATATTTTTGAGATCTAGTCTGTACCTTCTGTACAGTTTAAATACTAAGTAATTTAGTTTTCCCTGAGATTTCACTTTGGAAACTTTCCTACAATTCAGTTTCTTTATAACACTAAGCATTGCTTTACTCCCATTAGTCCTATCCTGGAAGCTTCCATCACGGTCAATGGTGTCATGGTAGAGGCATTTCCATTTGCCAGAATTTCTAAATTTCACTTGTCTGTGTGATTGGCTCTACATTATTGCCTCTGATCCTCTCCTATTGAACTTTAATTGTCTCATGTTTCATCTCCATTATGGTATTTCCATATCAAATATCCTAATTTTTATTGACATTAGTCTTCACATTCTATCTCTCACCCAACCTTCTGGCAACACTCTCTGCAGGTGATCTTTTTTTAATCTCTCTATTCTATCTCTGATCATCTTTATCAAAAAAAATTCTGCCATTAGTTCTAAAGAGAAATGTGTTTATTTCTTTAGTACTAGTTAATAAAATACAGCTCTAACTTTGTGCATAATTTTCTTAAGGTACATATCAAATCTTATGAGATGTGGTCACAGCAATACATAAATAAGAATCGATAGGATTTATTAATAGAAATGGAGAAAAAATACTGATAAAGAAGCATTGTTGTAAGTTGAATTGCATCTTCTCAAAAAAGATATGTTAAACTTCTAAATCCCAGTACCTTACAATATGACCTCATTTGGAAATAAGTCACTGCAGATGTAATTTGATAAGATGAGATCCCACTGAAATGCGGTAGGTCTGTAACCAAATATGACTGGTGTCTTACAAGAAGATGCCCGTGTGAAGACAGAGTCAGACAGGATGAACATCATTTAACAATGAAGTCAGGGATTGGGGTTATGCACCTCCAGGCCAATGAATGCCAAAGACTGGCAGTAAAGCAACAGGAGCTAAGAAGACACAAGGATTCTCCTCCAAACTGTGAGATAATAAATTTCTGATGTTTTAAGCCACACAGTTTGTATACTTTTTTACGGTTGCCCTAGGAAACAAATACAGCCCTCAACCAGAGAAATTAGAAAAAAAAATCCAAACGATATGGAAATAAATGAAAAAAATAAAGGTCATTAACTTTAAGATGAATATAAATGCAAGTCAACAAAGAGCATATTGATAATAAACATCAAAAATTGGTTCTGAAAGGGTAATACAGATGTGTACACTATTAGAAATTTAATCTAAAAACAGTAAATAAAGAATAATAGAAAAGGAAATAATATCAATTGCTAAGTAAGGACTTTTTTAATAAAGAAGGAAAATAATATGTAGCTTGGCAATTAGTATAATGAGGTCTACATATAACATTTGGGGTCCGTTTCAGGTTTTTAAAAATTCTAGTTTGTATAATTTCCAAAACGCAATAAAGTGTATCTATGAGAAACATACAAAAATTAACACTTTATGTTCAACAACTATTAATAGAAATGTTTCCATTAAGTCAAGAATCAACCAATCCAAAACAATAAGAAAAGAATAAAATAAAGAAAAAGCTGTTTTTATTTGCAGAGATCATGATATCCTACATAAAAATCAACATACATCACTGTAAACTAAGTATTATTAAGAAGAAACTTTAGCAAGATTACTCAATATATCACGACAATGACATAATGCATTGCTAAACACTATCCATAAGCAATTAAAATGTAATGAATCCAAAATATCTCATTCACAAAGCAAATTTATAAAACACAAATAATCGAAATTATAATTGTATGACATAGCTAGTAATTTACTAAATATAATTGAAAAATGATAATATTTAATCTCAATTAATGGAAACCTCTACCAAGATACTGGATGGAAAAATAACATCAACCCTTGAACAGCACAGTTTCATCTGTGCAGTTCCACTTATATATAAGTTTTCTTCAACCTCTGCCACCCCTGAGGCAACAAGACCAACCACTCCTCTTCCTCCTTCTCCTCAACCTACTCAGCATGAAGACAACAAGGATGACCACCTTTGTGAAAACCCACTTGTAGATAATCAATAGAAAAGATATTTTCTCTTATGACTTTCTTGAAGTTTCTTTTCTCTTTCTTTGATGTAAGAATACAATATATAATACATATACAAAATAGGTGTTCACCATCCACAATATCATTCCCAAAAGACCAAAATAGGCATTAATCAATTGTTTCTGTTATGAACTTCTGGTCAACAGTACGTTATTAGTAGTTAAGTTTTTGGGGAGTCAAAAGTTATATGCAGATTTTTGACCTAACAGGGGGTTGGTGTCCCTAATTCCCACATTGTTTAAAGGTCAACTGTACATTTTTGAAGTGTCATATTTTCCTCATAAATTTATAAATTCAGCAAAAATTCAAAAAAAGTATGAAATTTGACAACTAACTTAAGTTACTGGAAAGAGAGAAAGCATGGAGAATTAAGTTTATGTTCTGCTTTGTAACCTAACAAGTTACAAGCATTTTCAAGCACATGAAACTTTCAAGCACATGAAAAAATCTGCTACAATAACTCACGGCTGGTGAGGGTCTAAATTTACAGTCTTTTTGGAAGAAACAACAATATTCATTTAAGTATTACAATGTGTATCCCATAGGAATTAACAGTTCATTTTATTTTGGCAAGTCTAAGGAAATAAAAGAGAAACGTACAAGGGAGGTCACTGCAATATTATATGTCTGAGTGAAAAACTGAAAATGATTGAACTATCCATCAATAGGAACTGGTTAAATAAACTTACATATAAACAAATGCACTTTAACAGTTAAAAGGAATGACATAGAATGATAAACACTGCTATTGTTTGAATATGTCATAAATTCATGTTAGACACTTAATTCCCAGTGCAACAGTATTGGGATGTGGAGCCTAACAAGAGGTGATTAGATCATGAAACCTCTACCCTCATGAACACATTAATGTTGTTATCACAGAGTGGATTTATTATCATGATAGTGGACTTATTCTAAAAGTGAGTATAGCTCCCTCTTGATCTTGTTCTCTCTTGCCCTTCTGCCTTCTGCCATGGGATGATGTAACACAAAGGCCCTCACCAGATGCCAGCACCATACTCTTTGACTGCCCAGCCTGCAGAACTGTAAGCCAAATAAACTTCTATTGTTTATAAATTACCCAGTCTCAGGTATTCTGTTATAACAGCACAACATGAACTAAGACAAGCACTAATATGAAAAGTATCTAAGACATTGTCAAGAGAAGAAAGCAAACAGCACAATAAATATATTTTATTAGAACTATATTTTACATGAGGATGTTTTCGTGTCTATTCTTATACTTAAGTGCACTAATGAAGGATTCAAATAATAATAGATTGCTCATAAAATTTTTCCATGTTGGAGGGTAAAAGGGTGGAGAGGAAGGAGTTGAAAAGTAATTTTCACCTTTTTCTCTGTATCCTTATTTATTTTTTAAAATTGTTTTATTAATGACATGAAATAACTTTAAGAGAAAGCAATAAGGCAGACTAGTGTTTTAAAGTTATATTTCTACCATGATGTATTCTTAATACTTCAATTCACATACTTAACCTCTTTATCAGCTTTAGAGATTTTTAACTTGTCAAAAGAATATAAAAACAACTTAGAAGAAATTGCTTTATTATTAGCGTGATCCTCCCTCACTTCTTGCCCACGAAAATTATTCCCTGTGCATTGAGTGTGCACAGGACTGTGCGTGAGCACTCCACAGTTCATTTCTTTATTTAATGTCAACTTTCAGCCCTGAACACGCCTAAGTATAGGTATAAAGTAATAGAAAATAAACCCTAAGTGAAAGGCATTAGAAATTACAGATTTAGGATATTCTTTTCACCGAGAAATTGGCATTGTACATAACTAGCGGCTTTTCAGTTTCTGAAATATATTTGGCTTACCTGGATTTCAGTTCAATCAGTTATACCTGCCTAATATCCTTCATTTTCCTTATTGCAGAAATTGGTTGCTCAATAATGAGCAATAACTATGCACATGAAATTAAAGAAGTCATCACTTAGAGTTAGATAAATAGTAGAACTAATAAAACTAATGAAAAAAGATTCTTTTAAATCTGCTAGTGAATTACTTGATATGTCAAACTCAATTTTAAAGCCTAGTGAAAGTGAATTTGAAGAGCTGATCAAAGTCAGTCTGAAGTTGTTTAGCGTAACTGAAAGGAGAACATGCTATTTAAGAACATTCTTTAAAATTTGTTGGAAATTTAGATATAGTCTAAGAGTAACTCAGGGCTTCTTCGGTTGTATGCAATGGTAAACACTTTAGCTGGGAATAAGTACTTGTATTCCAAGCCACTTTCATTCTACAAAATGGGTGAAGAAGAAACTCCAGTCACCCACCCCTTTCTGTCCCTCATCTTACATCCTGGCCAACTCTAGTCACCCCAAGTCCACTACATGTAATTTTATGCCCTCCCTCCTCTTTATGTCATTCCCATAGATTCAATTGATCCCTTCCCCCAAATAAGTTAAAGTCGTAACCTCCAGTACCTCATAATGTGATCTCATTTGGAAACAGTCTTTACATAGATGTTCATTAAGGTGAGATTATTAGGTTGGACTGTAATATGACTGCTGTCCTTATAAAAGGGAGAAATGTGGACACAGGGACAGAAACACACAGAGGAAAAACAATGTGAATACACACGGGGAGAAGACTGCAGCGATGCATCTACAAGCCAAGGATCACCAAGTGTTGCCAGCAAGACAGTAGCTAGAAAAGGCAAGTAATGATTTCCCCCTAGAGTTGCCAGAGGGAGCATGACCCTGCTGACATCTTGATTTAGGACTTCTAGCCTCCAGAACTGTGGTTCAGTAAATTTCTGTTGTTTTAACCCACCTCATTGTTGGTACTTTAAGGCAGCTCTAACAAACTAAGACATCCATATCCATGAGAAGTTCCAGACATCTCAGTCTTACCTAAGCCACTATCCTCTAATCCTCATGAGACTCTTCACATCCATTATTCTGCCCCTCTATTCACCCCTCCCAAGCGCTGGAAGATTCCACTGTGCACTGTGGACTTATTGGTCCATTGTCAGCAAAATCTCTTTACCCTGAATCTCTTCTCCATACATTGAGTTGATTTTCTGGATCTAACAGAAACCAAGCTCTTCTGAGGACACTGCTTTCCTTACAACCCCTCCAATTTCCCTCTCACACTCCTTGTACTTACCTTTGAGTGTGTAGGTGAATGGTAAAACCACTATGCTCCTCACTGTCAGTCCCAGATTGTTTTCCCTCTTGCCTAACTAAAACTTCCATTAGGACTCTATGTCAATAGACTCTGTTACGTGACATGTACTGTCATGACTATTCATTTCTGCTGTTACCCACTCTTTCTTAGGTCAATCCATCACTTTTCTGTGATTTGGCTCCTGACTCCCTGATTTCTATTTCTTCATTTCAAAAATGAAGAATATACATTCTCATGATCCTCCAATCAACATGGGTTCTCAGTTTCCTGAACTTCTCTATTCCAAAGGTATTTTATCAGTTTGTTTTTCTCAGTTTGTTTTCTGCAGTACACCAACTCCTACACCAGGCTCATCAACCCATGAATCCTCCCATCTTTATACTGTCTCTCCTCCACATGTTGCCCCTCTGCCCTCTTTATATTTAAGACAAATTTCCATGAGGGCAAACTTATTATCACTACCTAGCATGCAACCTCAATTCTCCTGCCTCTTTCTCACTACCACATTCACTTGGAGAAAAAAACATAATCCTGATAAATTCCTATTCTTTGCCTACAGAGTCTGTACCTTTGCAGTTAAATGTGGCTGAAGAAAAACTAGAAACAATGTCTGTGGTTTCACTTTGAATTCATGACAATTAATTTCAAGGGGGCCTGTAATGCTTGCTTTTATGCAAGCATGGTATACTTCCTAGTCCAATCACTCCTCCTGTATTCTGTATTACAGTTTACACTTCTCTTATTTCTTCAAACCTTGATTATCTTTTGCCCCACCTTCCTTCTAAGCTGATAACCTCGATTTCTTCATTGAGAAAAATGAAGTGACCACAAGTAAAATTTCAAAGAATGCCACCACCACATATGCCCTCACTCCAAGTATCTGTATATACATCCCTGCCATCTGTTTCTGGGAATCAACTACATGTCTTCTGCCTAAAGTCAGCCCCTTCAGGGGTAATTGATCCTATTTCTTATTGCTTGCTTATACTACAGAATTTCTCCCTTCTCTCAGGTATAACCACACATTTTTTCCTTTCTCCCAAATCAGTCTTATGTGTACATCAACTTGATGATATTTTCTATTATAAAAACACAATAAACCAAAATGTAAAAAAGCTCTTAACTCCACTTCTTGCCAGTCACTGTGCAATTTCTCTGTGCCCCTTTACAGAAAAATCCTCAAAAGAGTATTCCATACTCACTGTCTCCTCTTTCCATTGTCTTCCCTCTCTTTCCATTCTCTTTAATTTCTCTGCAATCATTATGAATTGAATTGTGTCCTTCTACAAATCCATATGTTGAAGTCTTAACCCTCAGTATCTCAGAATGTGACCTTATTTGGAAACATGGCTGTTGAAGATGTAGTTACTTAAGATGAGGTTATCCTGGAGTAGAGTGAGTCCCTAATCCAATATGACTCTTGTTCTTATAAAAAGTGGAAATTTGGAGAGAGACGCACACACACACACACACACACACACACACACACTCTTCAAGCACCTTGTCAAGATAAAAGTATATAGATCAGGGTACTGCTTCTACAAGTCACAGAATACCAAAGATTGCGGAAAAACCATTAGGACTTCCATTAAGACCCTAAGTCAATAAACTCTGTTACATGACATGTACCGTCATGACTACTCATTTCCCATGACTACTCATTTCTTCTGTTACCCACTCATTCTTAGGTCAATCCATCACTTTCGTATGATTTGGCTCCTAATTCCCTGCTTTATATTTCTTCATTTCTAAAATTAAATCCTTTCACTTTCATAGACACCCGCATGATCCATCAATCAACTTGCATTCTCAGTTTCTTGAACTTCACTATTCCACAGATATTTTATCTTTGCCTTCACGTAGCAACTCACTGACATAATCACCCTCTAGACCTAGTCATTACCAACAACATCCTTAGCTTCTCTGTTACCTTAATTGCAGGAACAGATTCTTCCTCATAGCCCTTGAAAGGAACCAACCCTGCTAACACCTTGATTTCCCATTTCTCACTTCCAGAGTTGTGAGGCAATCATCTTCTGTTGTTTATGCCACTTTGTTCATGTTTCTTGGCTAAAGCAGTCTTACCAAACCAATAGGCCAATCAAGCATTTAGTCTACCACTTAAGTGCAACTGGTCTAACCTATGTTCCTATGATCTTCACATTGCTAAAGCCTAAGTAATTATCAGTCCAGATTTGTGCTTGATTGGTCAGCATCATTTGACTGTCTTCATCTGACTTCTCAGGTACAACACCTGCCAAATTTTGCTTCTGTCACTCTGAGAGGTCCCTCTCGGTCTCCTTTACTTGGTTCTATTTCTCCACCTCTTAACTTAGGAGGGCTTTCAGGGCTGAATTTCTGGCCCTCTTCATTACTTAAATGTACTCACCTATGATGTCATTGTAAATACCATCTATCTGCTGAGGCCTCTCAAATTTACATCCCCATCCTAAAACTATTCCCTGAAATTCAGACTTGTACACCTAAGCTCTCCTTAAAATTCTGCATTTGGATATCAACAGACGTCTCAACCCTAACATGTTCAAAATGTAACCTGTGATCTTCTCTCATGATTGTCCTCCCACGGTCTTTCCCTTCAGCTGATGACACTCTGTCCTGCCTGTTGTTTAGTCCAGAAACCTTGGTGAAATCTTCAACCCTTCTCTTTCTTTCACAAACCCTATGTAATCCTTCAGATGATCCAGTTGCAACTAGTTACAAAATATATCCATAATTCTCAACTTTCCCAACCTCCTCCACTACCACCCTTATCTGAGTCATCATGCCACATGACACTTCCCCTGAATTACTGCTGTAGTCCCCTGCATGCTCTTGGCATACATGACTGCCCTTTGTCTTAGTTCATTTGTGCTGCTATCACAAAATACCACAGAATGGGTAATTTATATAGAACACAAATTTGTTTCAAATTAATTCTGGAAGCTGAGAAGTCTAAGTTCAAGGTGCAGGCATCTGGTGTATGGTGAATGCCTGCTTGATGTGGCCTCACATGGAAGAAAGTAGAAGGGCAAAAGGGGACAAACTCCCTCCATCAAGCCCTTTTATAACAGCATTAATCTATTCATGAGGGCAGAATCCTCATGACCTAAACACTTCCCAAAAGGCCTCGCCTCCCAACACTGTTGCATTGGGGATTAAGTTTCCAACACATGAATTCTGGGGGACAGATTAAGAACATAGCATCCTCTATGGTCTATTCAAAGCACAGCAGCTAAGATGTCCTTCAGAAATGTAAATCAGACCATGGCTCCCCTCTGCTCAAAATCCTGCAGTGATTCCATATTTGCTTCATAGGAAAAGCCAAAGTCCTAAACATGTACACTAGGGCACTCAGCTTCCCGTTAGTGTCCAACTACATCCCTTGCCTCTTCTTCCCTGCCTTCTCCTCTAGCACAGGACATTCTTGCCACTCCACAAGTAAGACAGGCACTCAGTCACTTCAGGACCTTTGCACTGACTGCTCCTTCACCTTTTAATTCCCTTATCCAAGAAATCTACTTGGCTATCTCTTTCACCATTTTATATATCTTTGCCCAAATGTTACTTTCACATAGATTACTCAGAGCACTGCATTTAAAATAGAAATAGTTGGAGTGTAAATTAGTTCAACCACTGTAGAAGACAGTGTGGTGATTCCTCAAGGATCTGGAACCAGAAATACCATTTGACCCAGCAATCCCATTACTGGGTATATACCAAAAGGATTATAAATCATTCTACTCTAAAGACACATGCACACGTATGTTTATTGCGGCACTATTCACAACAGCAAAGACTTGGAACAAACCCAAATGCCCATCGATGAAAGACTGGATAAAGAAAACATGGCACATATTCACCATGGAATACTATGCAGCCAAAAAAAGGATGAGTTCATGTCCTTTGCAGGGACATGGATGAAGATGGAAACCATCATTCTCAGCAAACTAACACAGGAACAGAAAACCAAATGCCACATGTTCTCATTCATAAGTGGGAGGTAAACAATGAGAACACATGGACACAGGGAGGGGAACATCTTACACAGGGGCCTGTCGGGGTTGGGGGTTAGGGGAGGGATAGCGTTAGGAGAAGTACCTAATGTAGGCGATGGGTTGATGCGTGCAGCAAACCACCATGGCATGTGTATACCTATGTAACAAACCTGCACGTTCTACACATGTATCCCAGAACTTAAACTATAATAATAATAATAACAATAATAATAATAATAATAAACAGGAATCTCTACTCCATCCCAGCATGTCTGACTCTAACTTTGCCTTATTCTTTTCCATTCTAACAATTATATGATTTATTTTCTTATTTAGTATTTCCTTTCTACCCAGTTTTCGCTAGAATGTAGGCTGAAACAAGTCAAGACTATTTATTATATTCACAGATGCAACCAAGACAGGTATGCTCAAAAAACATTTGCTAGCTGATGAAAACAACCAGTCCACCTACCAACATGTCTTATTAATTCAAATAATTCATTCCAAATTTTCTTCAATGTTTAATGTACAAGTCATGCCATCTGTAAATAGCAGATTTGTTCTTCTAATATTTATATACTTTATCAATAGTCTTTGTTTTTATACTCTAGGAAATCAACAGAATGTGACACCACAGGTTGATTAAGAATACCACCGTGGAAGACAGTGTGGCGATTCCCGAAGGATGTAAAACTAGAAATACCATTTGACCCAGCAATCCCATTACTGGGTATATACCCAAAGGATTATAAATCATTCTACTATAAAGACACACACACACGTATGTTTATTGAAGCACTATTCACAATAGCAAAGACTTGGAACAAACCCAAATGTCCATCAATAATAGACTGGATTAAGAAAATGTGGCACATATACACCAGAGAATACTATGCAGCCATAAAAAAGGATGAGTGCATTCCTTTGCAGGGACATGGATGAAGCTGGAAACCATCATACTCAGCAAACAGTAACAGGAACAGAAAACCAAACACTGCATGTTCTCACTCATAAGTGGGAGCTGAACAATGAGAACACATGGACACAGCGAAGGGAACATCACACACTGGGGAATATCGAGGGGTGGAGGGCTAGGGGAGGGACAGCATTAGGAGAAATACCTAATGTAGGTGACGGGTTGATGGGTGCAGGAAACCACCATGGCATGTGTATACCTATGTAACAAACCTGCACGTTCTGCACATGTAACCCATAACTTAAAGTATAATAAAAAATAAAAATAAAAAAATAAAATGAAATAAAACAAAAAAGAATACTAGTGCAGATACATGTTTTTGTATATAAAAGATCTTACAATATGCAATATAGGGGGAATCTAGTTACCACGTATTAACATAAAGTATGACAGTTTTTATTTTAAAAATCATAGGTAAATATATACAGACACTCACAAATGTGTACATACACCCATATATAGCACTTACTGTGTCTGATACTCTCAGAATTACTCAAAGCATGTATTATTAGGCATACTTTCCAGATAAGAAATCTAAGTCCCAAGTTTGTACAGGGGGTATGCAGAAAAGTAAGAATTAAAATCCTATGTCTATCCTTCCAAAACTCCCTACGCTCTATTGCATTCAACACTGGAATTTGAAATGGATCATGAAAATTTTTCAATTCCCCAGTACACGACAGAATAAATCTGATCTTTTGGGTTTTTTATTGTAAATATAAAATTCACTTAGCAATAATTCAACAGATGAATGCACATGCTTCTTCTTGTGTCTAGGTAAATCCTCATTAATCCAAGTCAGAAGATTATTCCTGGGTTAAATCTGTGGAAAAATTCAGCAATTGGAAATGTAGACTACTCAATCTTTAATTTGCAAGGGTTTTTGGTGACAGATTGAATTGATGAAGTCATGAAAGACACTCAAAAGAATGAGGATAATTGATTAGAACAACTTGATGGAAACTTGGTTTCAAGTTATCTACCAAAACATGCCTTTATATCCTTTTATAGTTAGAAAATTTAGATGAGCACAGCCTTCCAGAATAAAGACTGTATGTGTTTTCCAGACTTCCCTGTGATTCAGTGGGGGCCCTGTCACTAACTTCTGGCTAATGAGATAGAGTCTAAAATGAGCTCTGCAACTTCTGGAATGGGTTTTTTAAGAGAGTGCATATAACTGCATATAACTTCTACCTTTCTGTCTTTCTTGCTGGAACCTGGATGCTTTTTTTTTTTTTTTTTTTTTTTTTTTTGTCCTAAAGAAACCATTTGGGACCCTGTGCAACTCTTGGCTCTCTGATCCTGAATAATTTATTTAGCTTCTCTGTGTTTCAGTATCCAAATTTATAAAAGTAAATAATACAATGTATCTTCTGGGAGTGCTAAGAGTTGAAAGTAACATGGAAAAATTTTAGCAAAGTAGCCAGTCCTCAGAAACATTTATTATTTTGATAGCCTGAAAGAGGGAGTAGAGGTAAATATCCTTTTCTATTCTTCATATTCTAAAAACACTCATATAGAATTTTATGATATACTAATAGATACTTAAAATGTGAAAAGGAGGAGGTCTCATTTCTCTACCCCCGCAATATAAGTAAGGGACATTCATACACACGACTTTGATCAGACTCCAGAAAAAACAGGCCTCCACTGCATTCTCCCTAATATCTAACATTCATTTCTAAGGAGGGTTAATGCCTCTAACTAAACTCTTCCCATCGGCAGAAATTTCCTCTGAGCACAGAGTCTCAACAAGCATACACATTTTCAGCGTGAACTGTTTAACTGTAACAAGACCGTCTTTATAATTCTGGAAAATGTTTAAGTTCCTACCACGCTAAGAAACATACGTATACACACACACACACACACGTAACTCATCTATGCACATGAATTATCAATGACATCTGACTTTTACTTGGGCTATAAATAATCTCACCAAGAAGTAGTCAAACTCTTAACAGTGTATATGCTACTTATTTAATTTCTTGAATATAAATATTTCCAAATAATAGAAACCTTATTGAACGTATACTTTTTGAGATTTATAACAAAAAAGAAACATTGATGTCAACGTTGCTTTACATTCATTATATTTAAATGACTGCTACTTTTACACTACCACACTTACTGTATGCTAAGTATTTTCAATTTCAAATACATAGTGAGAAACATTTCCCAGTGGGAATGCATTTCCACAGTTTTATATCAATTATACATAATTTTATTTCTTCCTGGATATGATATACTTTGTTTCATTTTTATAAGTAATTGTTATATACCCCAGACCAGTTATATATTCTTCTTAAGTAACAGGAAATGAGTTTATTCACAACTTGATGAATTACAGAATGCCTGTGCTTTTGTAAAAGTCTTAAAGAGCTTACTCATTCCAAGGTAATACTTCCTTTAAAACTCTAATTGGTACAACTATTAGATTAATACATGATTTTCCTAAATATTAACAGATTTGATCATCAGCTACTTGATCTTCCAAGTTCTGCAGGCATTAAAAGATGGAAAAGTACACTGACAGTATCTGTCCCCATCTCAGGTGATACCCTGCCAGTCTCAACTGACATTTATGGTAAGCCAAAGAAAAATATACATGTGTAGATATACTTCGAAGCCTTTAAATACTTAAATAAATAGGGTGAAAGTTTTTACATACTACCTCAAATTTTGCAGCAATTTTTCAAGAAAAAGTGACCCCAAAACAACATAGCTCTAAAGTATTTATGTATAATTCTATAAACATAAAAGAATAAACAATAATAATAGTAATTGATATATTACTAGGTGGCCTGTCTCCATAATACAAGATTCACATAATTTAGACATGTAATAACTCTACGAAGAAAGTTCTGTGATTTTCCACAGAGCTAAGAAGTGGCAAAGCTGAGAGCTTTTTCTGACAGTGAAATATGTATTTTAGCTAGCAACTGTATTCCCAAGAAGTTACACATTTGCAGCCTAGGAAACAAAGTTGATCATTTGTTTGCTTAGTTAATTTTATTTAAATTTCAGTACAGTACCAGGGGTGGGGTGGGATGGAGTTTATTATGTTTTGCTTTAGATGCACAAGAGGATTAAAAATGACGTTATCTTTGAGAACCAGGCATTGTGTTAGGGGACAGAGATGGAGATGAAGACAATCATGTATTTTCTCATTATAAAATCCTCTTAGTTTTTTTTTGTGATCAAATTAATATAATTACAAAAGCAGTAATCTTAAAGAGACTGTGACTATGTGAGGATTATTTGGATAAGATGTGGTTTCAAGAGTATAAAATTTCAAGCTAAATTACAGGATTTAAGTTAATGTATGATATTTTAAGTAAAGTTTTAACTATTTAAATTTGAATATCTAAAACCTTAATGCCATCACATTATTATAACCTGAATCTCATTAGCTATTTTTAAATAAAATGATTACTGTCCTTTAAAATTGTTTTTAATTTTCTTCAACGAAATAAGATGCATTTTGATTTAAATGTCTTGGTACATGCTCAAATATTTATATGACATTCACATTATATAAAAAAATTGAAAAAATAAAAGTATACAGTAAAACCAGAAAGCTAAAGTAGACTCAGAAAGTAATGAACTTCTGTTTCATGAACTTTTCCATTGTTGAAAAGAATTGCTATTTCTTTGCTGAGATGTAGTATACAAACCTTATGTTACTATAAATGTAACATTGTAAGTTACCTCAGTAAGTGACCCTCAGGAAGACTACCAATTTACAGTATTATTATATCTGAGAGAGTTAAGTCTGTGACGGCCACAAAATTATTTCTAGCAGTAAACAAATTAAACTTGTATTTTTAAACTATCACAAAGCTGGCAAATACCTAAATAGAAGCACTTTTTATACCAGTTACTGGATTTCTTTACTACTGAAAATAATCAAGCATATTGTAGAAAATCTAGAAAATGCAGCAAAATGTCAAAATAAAATTATTAAACATCTATAATCCCCTGACCTACAGATACACTTTTTGGTATTTTGGTGAAATAGAACATTGCAAAGTGGACCATGTATATTTTAAACTTGTTCATACACATTTTCTCATGAGCATTTCCTCAAGGAAGTCGATTTACCTTAATATTTTATCTTAATAAGTTGTAAATTTAAATTTCTCAATGTTTGTAATTTAAAATATACATTAAACCTCAGGTCATTTCCATTACTCTGTTCTGTGTCTATATATTTTATTAATTTATGTTACATGAATTACAAAGTCATTATCTTGATATTAATTCTCCAAATGACGAAAATTTATTATAATCGTTACATGACATTACATGTGCATAATTATTCAAATACACATGATTTTTAATTTTTATTTGGGAGGTAAATCCTGAAAATGACTTTATAACACCACATATCCAGTAGAAATTTCATGGATAATGCTATATATATGCACGATTATATCACTTAGATATAATTCTTTATTTTATAATCCCACTTCCTTGTTCATCCTACTTTTGTTAGGAGTTGTATGTATTAATATGTGCAATAATAATTTATGTGTAAGCTTTAACTGACTTAGGAGACAATTTTGTTATCCCCTACATCCTTAAATATTCCAACCCAGCCAAACAACAGTGATTATTCTCGCAAATGAACAAAACATCATGGTCTAAAGTCAACATAGCAAAATAAATAACCTGAAAATGTTCCCACAGTAAATACCTTAAAATCAAAGTGATAATATAACAAACGATCTTTTCTCAATGCACAACTGAACTCTCTGGAAAATAAGGGAAGCCACCTGACTCTCAAATCAAGAGGAGACTAACAGAATAGAGTGAGAAGCATGTAGCTGGATTCTCTGGGAAGTAAGAGTCTTAGTTGAGATTTTTGGCATAAAGTCAGGTCCTTTGACCCTGGGTTGGGAGGCGGGTCGGAGGAGGTAAGGTAGAGAGAAGAATCTCCTGCAAATGAAAGCCGCTTGTGCTTTCTGAGAGCCCCAGGTGAGAGAGGAACACAAAAACTGACTCCTTTTAACTGAAGTAAAAATTTATCTGCTATAGTGGGAACATTCTCTAACAGATCTTGGTGCGTTCCCATACATAACCTCCCCAGGTATAAAGCTACGGAAACGACAACAACAACAACAACAAACCCTTAAACTCCAAGCTAATATATACATGAAGAAACACGGTAGGTAAAACAGTCTGCAGAAGTAACAAGAAAATTAGCTATTTGAGTACTTCGGTTAATGGAATCTTAATAGACATTTTTTAATAAAAATGTGAAAGGAATAATATGAAAAAAGTCAGGTAACTTTGAAAGAAAAAATGCAATTTTGGAAATATAATATCCAGTAACTTATTATGAAAGGACACTAAAAACAGTTGAAGAAGGAATTCATGCATTCAACGGTGAATCTGAAGACACCACAAAGAAAGCAGTAAAGGGAGATAAATGTACGGGAAATGGGGCCTGGGCGCGGTGGCTCACGCCTGTAATCCCAGCACTTTGGAAGGCCAAGGCGGGCAGATCACAAAATCAGGAGTTCCAGACTAGCCTGGCCAATATGGTGAAACCCTGTCTCTACTAAAAACACACAAAATTAGCCGGGCGTGGCGGCGTGCGCCTGTAGTCTCAGCTACTCACAGCCTGAGGCAGGAGAATCACTTCAAACCGGGAGGCGGAAGTTGCAGTGAGCCAAGACCGCGCCACTGCACTCCAGCCTGGGCGACAGAGCAAGACGAAAGGAGGAAAGGAGGAAAGGAGGAAGGGAGGAAGGGACGGAGGGAAGAGAGGAAGGGAAGGGAGGAAAGGAAGGGAGGAAGGGAGGGAGGAAGGGAGGGAGGAAGGAAAGAACGGAAATGCTGACGTCTGAGAGAAAAGCATGAGAGAAAGTGTGATAACATCATACCAATATCTAATTAGAATTCTAAAAGTAAAGGAAGAGAATAGCAGAGAGGCGATGTATTAGTCCATTCTTACACTGCTATTAAGAAATACCCAAGACTCGGTAATTTATTTTAAAAAAAAAAAAGAGGTTTAACTGACTCACCGTTCTGCATGGCTGGGGAGGCCTCAGGAACTTAAAATCATGGCGGAAAGCCCCTCTTCACAGAGTGGCAGGAGAAAGAAAGAGCGGAGAGGATGGGGAAACCCTTTATAAAACCATCACATCTCGTGAGAACTCACTCACTGTTACAAGAACAGCATAGGGAAAACCGCCCCCATGATCCAGTTATCTCCACCTGATCTTACTCTTGCCATGTGGGAATTATTACAATTCAAGCTGAAATTTGGGTGGGGATGCAGAGCTAAACTATATCAGACAATATTTGAAGAGGTTAATTTTCCATGACATAAATTTTCCAAGACATAAATCTTCATATTCAAAAAGCACAGTATTTCCTTAACATGATAAAAAGAAATCTCACGTGGATGCATGTATTAAACTACAGAACTTCAAAAACAAGAGAATCTATTTGAAACAAGCTTAGAGAAAAGACATTAGCAACATAGAAATGACAGTGATGCTAACAAGTAGACTGGTCAATGGCTTAAAAAAGAAGCCAAAAGACATTTGAGAAATGTCTTCTGGTGTTGAGAGGAAACACCTGGTTTCCTCTGGCATTCTAACAGCAGCTAAGACACTATTCAAGAGTTAGAAAAAAATACAGGTGTTTTGATGAGAAGACTGAAAGTTATTAGCACTAATATTTCCTTGAAAAGACTTTCTTCAAGAATAAGGATATTTAACCCTAAAGGAAAGGAGTATGAAAAATATAAACCATGGTTAAAACTAAACAAGCATTGATTGTATGAAACAATTTAAAAAGGGACTATCTTTAGTCGTTTTACAAAAGTTAGAACTTTAATAATGGAGCCAGAAATTAAGAATAAGAGAGGAAATATGAACAGATTTAAAGCTACCTAAGATCTTAGGAAGGAGGTTAGAGATACTGAGTAGTTAAATGGGGATATTATGAATTTAAGAATTTAAAAATAAAGGGAAATATAAGACAAAACAGCAAAATATTTTGAAAGTGTTATTTAATAAAAATAGAGAAAACATCATCAAATAATTTGGAATAAAATGGATATAATTACTAATTGTTGATACATTCGTTTTTAAAAATTACATTGCAATAACATTAATAACTAAGTTTTATATGGCCCTTATGATGTTCCAAACATTTTTCTAAGCATGACACATATATTACTTCATTTAGTAGTTAATCATTAAAGACAGTATGTATTGTGTTACACCATTAAATTAGAAAAATATTTATTTCACTCTTTTCTAGAAAGATACAAGTTAGTAAAACAATGTCAAGAAATAAAAACAACCTGAATAAATCCATATATATTAAATACATTTAGTTTTGAGAGGCTGAGAGTGGAAGAAGATAATCTTGCAGGATGGTTAAAGACGATATCTGGAGAAAAATAAGGTACCTCTGTTTCATACCCTTAATAAATTCCTGTTTAATAAATTAGGGTCTGCATGTGTATACAGTCAAGCATAGCTGGAAATTATAAATCCAAATACAGAATAATGACTAATTATTTAAAGGGACGGAATAAGGGCTGCCTTAGGCTGTGAAGGATGTGTTCTGCATCGTCCGCGAGCATGATTTCCCTTAGAGTTCAGGGTATGTGAGCACTGCACACACAATCTGAAAAATCACACACAAAGGCCCCAGAGAGCAAAACCGTGATGTTTTATCCCAAAAATATGCATAATTTGAAATAAATGGAGATGAATTTTAACTTCAGCACATGGGTGTTGAATATAAAATTCTCTATTTATTTTACATGCTTGATATACTATATGAATTTTAAATATAAAACAATATACAGATGCAGTGTCTTTGACAGAAAGATGATGTACCCACTAGCAATGTTAGAAGTGTGACTTTTCATTTTTAAAGATGTGACACTCTTAATCAAGAACTTCTAAAATGTAAATAACACTGAAATGCTCTATTAATGAAGCAAATAAATAAGAGTTCATTCTTAAGCCTTTATTTAAGCTATTAATTTTATTATTCCACCATAAACAGTACCCCTAAGTTTCCCTGTAGTTAAATTCAAAGGATTGACTATTTGATCTTTCACATACTATTTAAAATAAACTTTGTATAGTTTTATGATTTGCAGTTCTAAACTTCTGACTTCACTTGAGCTATACAAATATAGGATTCATTTCTTAAGCAATAGTCTTAAATTATATTAGCATTATATGTTACTAAGCAAATTAACCAGATATATCAATTCCTTTTGTAAACATCTTACCAATAAAACAAATAGAAATTTGATAATTCATTTTGGGAATATATTCTAATCAATATTCTTATCATATTCTGAGAACTCAGCATGACACTTTCGATTACAAATCTTATAGTTCTAACTGATATATTTTCTATTAGGTCATTCTGTTTAACCTCAAATGCCATTAAGTTCCTTTGTAAAGAGGAATAAAAGTTATTTTATCTTAAAGTGAACTGAAAACTGATGGAAAAAGTTGTTCTTTTATCAAACTATAATCTATTGTTTCAGCTACAGAGAAATTATACACAGAAAAGAGTATAAAGAACTCCATAAATTATTATGACAAAAAGAAATGCCAAAGCAATAGCTTTAAAAGTGTTTTTTCTATGCCCTGGCAAGCAGTAAATTGATAAAACTAATAAAAATTGAAAGTGAGACAGAAAAAAGTGTCCAATAGTGTAGGAATTCTGAATTTCCTCTATTTTATATCTGAAGTATCAAAAATGCATCATTTGCAACTAATAACTCAAGTAGTATAATTAAGAAAACATTAAGAAATATAATTAATAAAATTAGGTAAAGGAAACTATGAATTATACTAATTTCATCAATGATCATGATAGGAAATTTATAAATATTACATTAAAATATGGTAGTTAAGTATTATATGAACATAAGCAAAAAAGTTTAGCTTAAAAGGGAAGTTCTAAAAAATATTACAATTCTCCCTAATTATTAAAAGAAATAAATTAAAAAGACACAAAGGAAATAAAATAAATCATATAACTATTAAAGAGTGTAAACAACACAAACGGATGCCAAAAGAAAGACTAAATTTGATAATTATTGTAAATTGGCTAAATTTGCCCACTAAAAGATAAATATAATTAAATTGAATGCCGAAGCAAAACCCAATACTTTCATGTAAATAAAATAAAGTAGTTCCAAAGGCAGGAATAGAAAGGAGGGTATAATATAAACAAAAATACCACAAAATAATAATACGAGTAAATAAAATACTAATACAAACAAAATGAAAGCAGGGGTCACATTCTAAATAAAAAACAAATTGAGTGCCTGCTTGTGAAGTGTGACAGAATTGGCACTTTGTTATGATGATACAATAGCTATTAATATCTATGCTCCAATAACTGAGCATAAATTGTCATAAACCAAAACAACATGTAAATCAGTTCCTACAAATAAAAAAAGAGATACAAATATTCTGAAGATGTACACAACACACAAAAAGGAAATATAAGTAGTTTTTAAATATAAATCTTTCAAAATTTTAAATACCCATACAATTTGACTCAGAAATTTCATTTCCAGAAATGTATCATACTAACATGCTTGTATTTGTTCACAAAGGACATTCACTGCAGCATTGTTATAGTGGCAAACAGTTAGAGACAATCTAGTGCAGGATTAGATAAGTAAAATTTGGAATTTTCATATAATGTGACATTATTAAGCTTTAAAATAAGAGTTGCATATACTAACAAATAACAAGCTCTAGAAGCGGGGGGAGGTAGTCAGGCAGATAGATAGATAGATAGATAGATAGATAGATAGATAGAAAAAGATAGATGATAGATAAAGATAGATGATAGATAGATATAGATAGATAGATAGATAGATAGATAGATAGATAGATAGATGATAGAAAAAAGATGTTAGATTGATAAATAGATAAAGATAGATGATAGATGATAGATAGGAGATAGATAGTGGACATAGATGATAGATAATAGATGATATATAATAGCTAGATGATATAGATGATAGATAATAGCTAGCTAGCTAGTTTTTAAATAAAAGTGCAAGATGTGGATGATAAACTCATGCTTAATATATTTTATTTTCTGGGCACATAGAAGGCTATGATTTTCAGGAAGGCCATATTACCCAGCCTTTTTCCTGCAGCAGCATCATGTGACCAGTTATAGCCAAAAGGTTGTGAGCATAAGAGACTTATGCTCCTTAATTGCTTCTGATTGACTTAACTGAAGCATTTAATTGCTCCTGAATGACACCCTCTCCCACTCTTTTGCTCTGCAGGGGAGGAGGGAGACAAAAAGAACGTTGGAGACTGGCAACCCAGCTCCCTGAGTGACAGAATAGAGCAGACCACTGGGGTACTCTCACTCCTGGCTGTCAACCCAGGCTGGTTATAAACTGCAATCAAGAAATAACTGTTTGACATTGACATTCCAGGAATAATTTCTTAGTGCAGCTTACTCTAGAGTATCTCACTATGGTACAGAACTATATATGAAGTGCAATCGTTTGTATAACAGAGGAATACGTTTTATAAACATATATGTATGTTTTTATAAACATGTATGTATGTTTTTATAAACATTTATGTATGACCTGAGAACAGTGTCAACAGTGTCAATAGAAAGGGAAACAGAAAGCTAGAAAACAGAGGACACAAGGGTCCATATATGAATTCTTTCTGTTTCAATTATTTTTAACAACGTCATATATATGTGTATTATATATGTTTCTTGCATGTGTATATATATATATATAGATGCACTACACACACGTGCACTCACGCGCCCACACACACACACACACGTTTCTTCCCAAAAGAGAAAAAGCAGGAGAATCTATTCATCTGTTTACTGGATAAAATTAGTATGAATTATAAAAGAGCAATGTATCTGTGTCTGCGTGTGGTTCACCCAAGTGCTGAATGTAAAATTACTACTAAGGACTACGCTATTGATATTCAAACTGGGGAGAAGTTTGAGGTTTCACAGGATGCATCACAGCTTCCTGGTTTGTATCCAATGACAGGAAACTTTCATGTGACACTGCAGCCATTAGAGAATTTTTTGATCAAAATTATTGTCAAGCCTTTTTCATAGCCAGAGAATCCAAAATATTGGCTCTTGGAAACAATACATGAAAAGTAAATATAGGCTTGTAATATTAAAGCAAAAATGATGGAGAAGGTATAGCAAAGAGTAAGTCCGTAAGTATTGAGCTCACAGCTATTTATTATTTTACTGATTATATTAGGAATACAAACATCCTTAACATGACCAAGAGTTGACATCACAGTGAATTGCAGGGAAAAATGAAAAATCAACAAACAGTAATACAAAAAGTAATCAATCCTGGTGAAGAAAATGAGAGTTGAGAATTACATTGTGCAATCAATGAAGATCAGGAAAATCTGACAAATATGAAAAGATAAATGTAGATAAAGCCAGAACAAAGACAGGTTTTCTTCATAAAAATATCACTACCTGAAATGTAATTATACAACTATTTGTGTGTGTATACATACATACGTATTTACACATTTCCTCAATGAAATATAAGGTCCAAAACTTCAGGACTGGAGTTTGTAATTTTCCTAGAACAGCATCTGACACATAAAAGCCACTCAATTAAAACTTTCAGATTAAATAAACAAAAGATCATTACCTTAATGGTTTTCTCCAGTTACTTGGTAAATGAATTAGAAGCTTAAAATAGACCCACTCGACTACTGAGCAATTAAACTTACTGATTGTACATAAATGCCCATAAGTGCAAAATATTATAGATTATAATACTAAAATTATATAAAAATATACATGTATATATGCATACACATATGTATATGTATGAGTGTGTGTGTGTGCATATATGTGACTTCCTAGGAAAAGTTTTATATTCCATTTCTCAGTAATCAGGTCACTGATTCATTCTTCAGTGGTTTGAATCATCTCAATATGTTTTCTAGTTATTTGATTTATTAATTCTGTAATTTATAGAACTTTATAGGATTTGAATGGACCACTTCTGAGCACGAGAATTAACGTTGTGGGTCCCCAAAGGGATACAAACAGATTTTAAGAATTTGACATATGCTCTAATACATCCAAGAGGAGACTAAAAGTCATGACTTGGCCAAGGTAAAAGATAGGTCCAATAATTGTTTCTTTAATTTTGTGTAGAATTTGAAAAATTAGAAAGATGAAGTCACGCTGAGATCCTAAGAAAATGAAAGATCCTAAGTTATGAGAAAGACTCCCAGTTGAACTTGAGATGTTACCTATATGATAAATTACTACCTTACCCAAATATATACATAACTAATATAAATATGTCTAAAAATATTTGCAGTGAAAACCACTGGCTCCCTACCACTCACACTACGATAAAAACCACCATTTTATAAGTTCTGTTTATGCTCACAAATTTTTTTCATGCTTCTTTCTTACATATGAAGGGATAGTCGATGATCACCTGATAGCTCAAGAATATCTTTATTACAAAACAAAGGCACAAAATGAAAAAATAGTGAAAACAAACTGGAAGAAATGAAATCCATACAAGAAGAGAAAATGTAAACATTATTGAATTTAATGTGTTCATAGAAAAACATTTCCTCTCTAAGCTTATGCAGCCATGAAGTCAAGACAAGGTACAGAAAGCCATAGTTTGTAGTTTGTTACAAAGAATAATTAGAGGACCAAAAGCAGCATTCAGATATTTAAAATAAAATACCAATAAGCACACAAATAATGTAAGTTTGGGGCAATAAAACAAAAATTCTCATGAAGTTGAATTCATATACCCATATTTAGTTAAGAGAAGAGAGACAAATTCTGGATCCAAAAAGCAAGTGAAAATTAGACAAAGGGTGGGAAAAGAACCCTGTGGTGGTTCCCACCTCCTTTCCCTCTTCTTCAGCCTGTAGATACTGTAGAGTTTATTTATCTACAAGTTATAATACTCTAGTGTGTCAGCTATGATCTCCTCAGTTCCCAGAATTCAAAATTATTAGCTTTGGGTGACAACTTAGAGATACCTACACCCTCAAATTTTGGAAACTGAATGATTGATACGGGAGCTAAAAATTAGGCAGTTAGTGAGGGTAAGAGAGTCATCGGTAAGGTTTCCCTTTTAATAAAATGCAGCCCCCAAATCCTTTCTTTTCTAACAAAGGGCAGCCTGAAAAATCAAGCTGCAGACATAGAAAAGCAAGCTAGAAGCTGGCACAGGTGAATGCCAACAGCTGTGCCAATAGAAAAGGGATACCTGGAAGTCAGATATGTTCAACATGGAGGCTCCTTCTTTCTTTTTCTTTGCTGCCACATGTGCAGTAAAGAAGCAGGCAACAAGCCAGGTGTGATAGCTCACGCCTGTAATAACAGCACTTTGGGAGGCCGAGGCAGGTGGATCACCTGAGGTCAGCAGTTCGAGACCAGCCTGAACAATATGGAGAAAACCCGTTTCTACTGAAAACACAAAATTAGTCAGGCAGGGTGACACAGCCTGTAGTCCCAGCTACTCAGGAGGCTGAGGCAGGAGAATCGCTTGAACCCAGGAGGCTGAGGTTGCGATGATCACAGATTGTGCCATTGCACTCTGGCCTGGGCAACAAGAGGGCAACTCTGTCTCAAAAAAAAAAAAAAAAGCCGACATGGCCACTGGCCAAGGAAAGAACCCATCAGCATAATA
Organism: Homo sapiens; assembly: GCF_000001405.40. Taxonomy (NCBI): domain Eukaryota; kingdom Metazoa; phylum Chordata; class Mammalia; order Primates; family Hominidae; genus Homo; species Homo sapiens. Next base: position 16,464,652 of record NC_000008.11, read on the forward strand.
AAAGATAAGGGTGGGATGACCAGCTTCTTCTTGCATTATGTAAATGACGTAATGGGTCCAACCAATCTTTTGGACCCTATGTTAATCAGACACCACCTCCTCAAGCTTGTCTATAAAACCCCATGTATTTCACCAGGGAACCAGAAGACCCACTTGGGAGCCTCTCTCTCTCTCTGCAGGAGAGAGAGCTTTTCTCTTTTTCTCACCTATTAAACCTCCACTCTTAACGTCACTCCTTGTGGGTCCACATCTTTGATTTTCTTCGTGTGAGGCAAGAAACCTCAGGTATTACCCTAGATGAATGATGCCGCTTCATGAAGAGTGCCCTAAACAGCGTGACAGCCAAAACTCCAAATGGTCCCCACTTCAAATATGTCAGCTAGGTTTGGTGAAGTGAAAGAAGGGGCAGTTTGGTCAAGTGTTTGCTGACTTATTCTGGTGGCTAAATATTTACACTGTCAACTGTAGAAGCTGCCAAACTATATTTGAATTAGGAGCTGAGGTATTTAGGAGAAATTACTAAGATGGAGTAGGGTGATTTTAGTCAAATTAATTAACTTATGTCATTCCAAGTTTCCTGAAGCAAAATGCATTTAAACATTACCATCACAGCACTTTAATAAGGCTTAGCATTTTAATGAGGTAACATATGTGAGAACTTCTAGAATAAAGTCTGAAACATAATAAAAGCCCGCAATCACAATGTCTCCTCTCTTTTCTAGTTTTCCTGATCCTAGTATATACTAACTTATCAAAGTCCTTCAAGCACATGCCCAGAACAAAACTAGATGCAATTTTCCAACTGAAATCACATCCTTGGTCCAAAATAGATACAATATTTATTATATGTAATATATATAATTTTTAATACATTCTAAGACTTTCAATGGCTCCTGTACTATTTGTTTGTAATGATCATGTAACTGTTAAGTCTTTTCCAACTGGGCTGAATGCAGACCAGGTACTTCTCTCCAGCTGTGGTTGTCTCACTTAAGAGAATCACAACATGGCTCTCATTAAGACACTCAAATATTTTCAGATTAAAAAATGATCATAAGTACAGAGAATTGAATACCAGAAATAAAGAGATGTAGATGGGCTTTCTATAATCCAAAAAAAAATAACTTGTTGGATGCACTTGTAAAAACTGAATGACAGTTTAAATTTTTGGTTGACTTCCCTTCTCTCGATGTGTGTTGGACTCTCTGATGACTTAATAGAATTTATATGTGCAGAGATAGAGTAGCAAGGCAAAACAGTAAAAATAGGATGACATATCAGTATAACAACCCTGTCATATAGTTAATATCAAGAAAAGTATCTGATTTTATATTCAATATACTTCCTGGCACATGAATGACATGTCATGAATATAGAAAATAATCGTTTGTTTGATATATCTTAAATTGAAAAGTTGTGTGGCAAAACTTGAACATTAAACTTTTTCAGAAAAGTTATATTTTTCAGCCAGCTCAATTTTAATTTTTTTAAAAGTTTATAAGCATGTTTTTTTATTACCCTTTCACATCTTCTGTAAGATGCAGTGTACCCATGCATCCACCAAACACTACCTGATCAAAAACAGTAAATTTCTTCGTTTTCATTTGCTAGTAGCCTTTCAATTAGGAGTTGCTTCTCTAAAAGAAAATAATTACTTGGTCATTTATACCATCTATCTTCTCCATGAAAATGTTTCAGAGTATGTAATGGAATTGTAATTATACATCAGTCATCTTTAATTATTTATAATTTTTAGCCTTAAAAGCTTGCCATTTTAAAAGTGACTTAATACAAGATTTATGTTATATTTAAGGACTCATTAGAAAAGTCCTTTCTCTGTTTCCTAAAACTCAGATAATCAACATTTCTATTTTTTTCTGTTTTTATGCTTACAACACATCTAGGTGCTAAGCTACTCCTTGAAAAAAAAAACTGCAAAACTTGGGAAGCTGAAGAAAATTAAAAAATATATATAAGAGAACAAAGAGATGACAAGCTAATTTACTTCCCAATAACAAAGAATGTGAGAGTTACACTGAACAAATTAAAAACATTAAAATTTCACTATGATCTTTCTATTCACCTATATTAAAGGATACATTTATTTATATAAATTAATCATGTAAGTTTGAAGTCTTCAAGGACTCAGATACAAAGAGAATCAGGAATTTGGCAAATTGACATCTTCCTATAGAAATCATAGAGAAAACTTTTTCTAAATTACTTTAAAAAATATTCTGTGGTGTCTATGATTCGCTTCCTATTTTATGTTTTGCAGTATTTTTATTAATGTGTAAAAACTGAAGATAAAAAAGAGAAATGTAGGGCTATTTTATTTCTTAACGATAGAAAGAGAGAATTCAGAAATAAGGGAACAGGGGAAAATGTTACCAGAGTCTTGGGAAAGATGAAGGAATGGATAAAATATCACTTTTTAATAACAGAAGGACAGGACAGAAATGGCTGGTGGAGCCAGGCCTGAGTCTCCTGCCTTGTGTTTCTGTGCTCGGATGTGAGGTTACCTTAAAGGGGCTTCAGTTCACCAATCTGTTTATTGGCGAGAGTCTTAAAGAAACCATCCAAGCCACAAAGTACGCAAATTACCTTTCTTAGCTATAAGGAAGCAAAATGCTTATAAAACTTTCCTAAGTGTTTTTCCATTTACAGTATTCACATTTCTTCTCATTTCTCAAGTACAAGAGAAGATGAATGTTAACCCAATGGGAACTCACAAGACCTATGGAATCTCTCTCTTACTCCCCCACCCCTCCCCATAAAACTGCTAAGTCTTGGTGCTTCCTTAGATCCAATCCTACAAATCATGTAGGATTTTAAATGGGTACTCAGTAGAGGCTCTTCACCTCTCCTCACTGAAAAGATTTAAACTAAATTTAATTATCTGCGCCCTGCCTAGAATATTCATCAACTAGATCTTTGTATTATGTCTGGCTTCTCAAACTTCAGATCCATTAACAAATAGTAACTTTGTTTTCCCTGATTATTATATCAAACATAACACGCACCAGTCATCCTCTATCCCAGGACATTGCTTTATGTTTTTTGGTACGCTTAAGACTTTCTTAACTTTTATTTCTTTATTATCTATTTGGCCCGATGTTGATGTCTTTTCCTACTGGAACAGTGGACTAAGATCAGGAACTTTGTCTCTAAAGTTTACTGTGTACCTGGATTCCCAGGAACAGTGCTTGAAAAATAGTATACACTCAGACACTATTTTCAAATGGTATTGGATGAATGGAGGAAATTAGAAGTAAAGTCATTTCACTTTTTGGAAGAAGTTAGGTGTTACGATCCTGAGAGCTGTAAAGTCCAACTGTGTTTAGATCCTGACTCAATATTTACCCTCTGGGTAGGCTTCAGTTTTCTAAAATCCAAACAGAAGGAAAAGAAATGTCACTGTGGTATAGGATTATGGTGAATTCAAGTTAAGTAGTTGTCATTGCACATAGCACAAAACACCTCAACAAATATTTTACTATTAACCACACACAAAAAATAATTTTATGAATAAGTTAATATATGAAGTATATTCTAGATTGTCAGTAAAATCAAAAGCAAAATAATTGAGATTATTATTTCATTCACTAAAGACATTAGAAATCACACATTGTAAATTAATTATATAAAAGGCAAAGCATATCTAAAAAAAATCAATCAATCTGTATTGCCCTTGAATTTCAGAAAACAAAAGAATAATGCAAAACAAAGCTGGGAATCCAGCCAACCATCTAAATACAGCATTTATCATTTACTTGTGAAATTACACTGTAAAGGCTCAGTAAAGAAAGCGAGATTATGCATATTCATACGATGCTTCAGTGGAGATGATAAATGAAACATAGCCACAAAATCATTCATTGAATATGACATGATTACATTTCTTTCCATGCTCACCCAACAACCAAGATTACAATGTAAAATTTCTATATATTTTTAGGAGAATAAAAGATCTAAATTTCTGAATGAAGGCAAAATCAGCATATACATTTTATGCATTGTCAAATATTATATGATTACAATGTGCATTCTGTTTTTTTAAGAAGACCAGAACAAAACACAAACTCCTTACAAGAAGATAAGAGGTTATCCTGATTCACTAAAGGTTTCAAGAATTTCGCTTTGACATTGTTTAATAATAAAAAATAAGTATCTCTTCTTATATTTTTAGTGAGTTTAAAGTTTAGTGAGTTTTATTTATTTTCTCTCTTAGTCTTTAAGCATGTTTTGTTTACCTTTTTAAGCAGCTTTTAAACAGTAGAATAGCATTATTTTAATAAATCATCAAACTTCTTTTGTTCAAAAAACATGTTAGTATACTCTATCAAAGCCATGAGGCTTTGATGATACATTATAGTAATAACTCATCAAAAGACAACAGTTTGATCATGCTGTACATTAAGTACATCACCAAAACTCATCTTTCCAATAGCAAAATAAAACAGCACCTAGCACAAACTCCTTTTTGGTTAGATGACTTTTCTTTAACACTAGAAATTCATGTTCATATGTACACACATACACACACACAAACATCTGTTCCTAACTAGGGATGGATTTATGCATAGTACTGAAAAGGAATTCAACTTAATAGGAAAACAAATTCAGGTGGATGGATTTGACAAGAATAAGGAAACCAAGAGGAAAATGAAAGGTCACTTAAATATATGATTGTATATGGTTTTACAAATAATAAAAATAATTTATGACAACTGTAGAAAGATGCAAAAGTATAGACAATCACAAAGGAGAAGATAAGTCATCCATATCACCACTAGACATAAACACCAAAACATTATGATATATCACTCAAGTCTTTTCCTCTCCCAAAGTATTTTCTATGAATTATTCTAGAATATATATGATATGTATATATGATAGATATATATGTGTGCATATATATGATATATGTGTACATATATATTTGTGATATATATTTATGATATATTATGATAGATATAGGTATAGATATTTTATGCAGAGTCTCACTCTGTCACCCAGGCTGCAGTGCAGTGGCACAATCTCATCTCACTGCAACCTCCGCCTCCTGGGTTCTAGTGATTCTCCTGCTTCCGCCTCCTGAGTAGCTGGGATTACAGGAGTGCGCCTCCATGCTCGAGTAATTTTTGTATTCTTGGTAGAGACAGGGTTTCACCGACATGTTGGCCAGGCTGGTCTCAAGCTCCTTGCTTGAGATCGGCCTGCTCAGCCTCCCAAAGTGCTGGGATTACACTACCAGCTGATTGCTATATATGAGCTTCATTCTTTTATATACTTGTATAACGTTTTAAGAATTTGATTTTCAATTAAATTTTTTAACTTTTCTATATGAATTATATTATTCTGTTATTGTTGAATTTCTGTAATGGACTATAGACATTTCATTCTATTTTTTTATTCTACTATAAGTTATATTCAATTTTTTTTTATTATTACACTTAAGTTCTGGGATACATGTGCAGCAGGTGCAGTTTTGTTACATAGGTATACACGTGCTGTGGTGTTTTGCTGCACCCGTCAACACGCCATCTACGTTCGGTATTTCTCCTAATGCTGTCCCTCCCCTAGTCCTCCACCCCCCAATAGGCCCCAGTGTGTGATGTTTTCCTCTCTGTGCCCATGTGTTCTCATTGTTCAGCTTCCACTTACGAATGAGAACATGCGGTGTTTGGTTTTCTGTTCCTGTGTTAGTTTGCTGAGAATGATTTCTAGCTTCATCCATGTCCTTGCAAAGGAAGTGAACTCATCCTTTTTCATGGCTGCATAGTATTCCATGATGTATATGTGCCACATTTTTCTTTATCCAGTCTATCATTGATGAAGAAAACGTATCTCTTTATTTCTCTAATCATTCATTTTAATATCTAAATGATTCTTATAGGCCCTCAACTTTATGTAAAATATAGTTATTAGCTATTACTTGTTGATTGTTTATCATGCACCAGAATGCTGCTATTTTGTGAGTAGGTCACTTGATTTTCCCTAGAAATTTATTAAATATATATTACTTTTGTTTCTACTTATCATCAGAGAAAGTAACTTGTCAAAATATTAAATAAGGAAACTGAGGTTCAAATTTCATTCTTCAAACTCCTCACTACAGGTTCTTAACCACTATATCCTAATGCTATAAATCATACTTCTTGCCAGGCGTGGTGGACCTGCCTGTAATCCCAGCTCCTCTAGAGGCTGAGATTTGAGGATTGCTCAAGCCCAGGAGCTCAAGGCCAGCCTGAGCACCACAGGGAGATCCATCTCTTTTAAAAAACATATTTCTTCGAGTCTACAATTTCATTGTTCACCTTAAAAATATGTCACGCACATGGACTAAGTTCACACATTGCCCCCCCACCTCCACTGAACACTCAATGAGACACACTGTGAATTTTTCTCTGACTTCCCAAACATACTTGATCATTCCTTTTTCATGCTTCCACATCACTTGTTACCTAAGTCTGTGAGAATTTGGCACGATGTTTTATAACTAGTGGCTGTCCTGCCTGCTGTCTAATGATACGTTTAGTCCTGTGTACTCCTCTGCATTCTAAGTGCCTGCCATGATAATTTATCATAATAGTTTATGGGTGAGTCTTACGAAATGAACAAATAAATGGTTGAATATATTGTATAAGAAACACTGCAACTACACATCCAAGAACGGTCTTGAATAGGCCTGTATTATAAAATAACTATGTTTTGTAAGTACTTAATCCATTTAATTAAAGGACATTCAGATTGAACCCAATTTATATCGCTAATTATTTGTTGTAGATAGCATAGGAATGCCATTATTTCTATGCTTGGGGAGATTCTTTTTGGTGTTGAGGTTGTTGAAAATGTGTTAGAATGTGGAGAAGTAAAGTGAAACAGAGTATCGAAACATTCAGATCGCTGAGCTGTCAGGGTCTCGTTGGAGACGGTCCTAGGAAAGGCTGTCAATATCAGTAGGAGTAAAGAAGAAGAATCAAGTGCCTAATTCCAAAACCAAAAAGTCTTGATTTTCATTTCACACACCATTAACTGCAGGCAGTGGCTCCCCTGAGGGTAGAAAAAGTAAAGTACCTTGACACAGGTGGAGGTATTGTAGGGCTCTGGATGGGGAACAGAAGCTTTCTGTCTTCTACGAAATCTCACTAGGGAAGACCATTTCCAATTAACACTACAGGCTTTGCTGTATCGACCAGAATGTTTATAATTATAACATGTAGATGTATATAACCAGCATATATGGTGTTCATAATTATAATATCTATAATTTAGAGAACACATAACCCAAAATCGTTTTCACTGAAATTACTACATATTAAGGTAGAAGGTCTTATTCAAAAATTAACTTGTATAAAAATGTAAACAAAGAACGGTTAAAGAATTGCTCATTATTCACCTCAACTTCAGATAATATCCCATTCAAAAAGCGCTCCAAATCTGATGCACACTATAATCATGGGTAATAAACCAGACTGGCTGTGTTTAAGTTCACCACATAAATGATAAGCTACTGAAAACAATAATTCTATTATGTTACTATATAAATTTTACTTTGTTGAAATTATTATCCCATAGTCATGAGATCAATGAGATCTCAAATTTTCAGTTTACAACAAGAAAAAAGAATGCAATTAACATACAGCCAATAAATAAACTGTATCATATTTTTGCCTGCCACAACAAATAATATTTTATATCCATGTTATTAACATATATATATATATATATATAACTAATAATAGCCTGATTGGCAAATAAAAAGTACTGCTACTTAAAATGTTTTCAAATTAATTAGTAATTCTGCAATTTAGAAAGTAGTCAGTAGTAAACTATGAATAGAATAATTTCATATGCAATTGAAGATTATAAATGTTCTTACATATGTAAAGCTTCCACATTTTTGTTGATCATCACTGCCTTTTCCTTATGATATACAGTTTTATAAAATCTTGGTTAGTTGTGACATAGGAACCCAAATGCTCTTCCTTTAAATTGTTATGTCATATAAAGCACTTTTTAGTAAACCTTTTATAGTTTATTATAGTCTTCTGACATAAACCATGCATATTTTTGCATGGTTTATTTTTAATACAAATTTTAACAAATAATTATGTTTGTTATTTAAAAGTAGAAAATTATAATGGATGAAAAGCAGTACCCCTTGTAGTCTTAGCACAGAGTGATAAATACCACTTTGTTTTTTACTGAATTGTTAAATTTAAAATATAATTAAATCAAGAATTTTTCACAATGTCAGGAACATTGATTTCGAAATGAGCACGTATTTTCAAAGTGTAATTGAAGTTCCCAAAATTCTCACTTTCATTTACTGTTTGATTGTAGATTGTCATTTATAACTTTGGTTTTTAAAATTTTAAAATACCATATTCGATTTCATTTTTTCGTATTTATTTATTTATTTATTATACTTTAAGTTCTGAGATACATGTACAGAACGTGCAGGTTTGTTCATATTTAATCTCTTAATTATTAAAGCAATAAATACTTATTTGGAAAAATAAAGAAAACCTTAAGAAGCAAATTGAAATTTCTGATTGCTATTTGATATTCAAAACTTTGACTAAAAAATAATTCTAAGTTTTTAATAGCAACGTCTCCATTTCTATATTCCAAAGGACAAAGAGAATAACGCAGCAAAAATTACTGAATGAAAATTGAGATACTAAAAGTAACAAATGCAAACCTATAGATATAACACATGTAAAGGTAAACATTTGAATGGGAAATACAATATTTAAATCCGTCTGTATAGTGTTTTCTCTATTGAGTCACTATGGTTTGCTTTTAACGCATGTCTGAATATGTTCAATCAGCCTTTTGCTAAACGTCCAAGGGGGAAGAAATAATCTTTTATAGGCATTGCCTCATGGTAGATAATTCTGACTTCCCTAATCTACCTAGGTGTATTTATATATTTTGACTTCCCTTATCTACCTGGGTACATTCCTACAAAACAGAAAAATGCCAAGTGATATCTTGGAATATCAACTTATTTCTAAATATGTCAACAATCAAATGAGCAGCATTTGTTCATTAAAGACTGATAGACACGTGCATACATTATGCATACATACATGTATGTATACATACATTATACATTCCTTACAACCTCCCTCAGTAAATCATTCAGAGACTTAATTCTTTGTTAAAAACTTTTTTTTTCTTTTTACAAACTGAAAGTTTGTATATTTTAATTTTGGCATTGTTCTTTATTTATTTTCCAAAAATATTTATCTTCTATACATTAAGACAAGGGTTGGTTATAGATAAAATCACAAGGAAGCAATCTTATCTTGAATCTTGTTCAACCACATCTTTGATTTACTTTTTTCCCTCCTATTCAAAAAGTCTTCAAAGCCTTTTTCTCACAGCCCATGCATTAATGTGAAACACAGGGACGGGTATCCATTGTTGAGGCTCTGCTAGCTGGGAAGAGCTATGCCAGGTGTCTTAGCACATCTCAGTGAGCCTCAAAACAACTTTTTAAGCTTCAATTTACAAACTAAAATAAATAAATAAATAAATAAAGCTCAAAGCATCTTAGCAGCCAAAGTCACACAGATAATTAGTAAATACTGAAACTTATATTTGAACCCTGCTCTCTGAGACTCCAGATCTGTGCTTATAATAATCACTCTATCACAGTGATCTTTTAGTTATTTTCAAGGTGTTAATGTTTTATTATGAAATATTTTAGACAGACAAGAAGCATAAATATAATATGGCATATATCGCTGCTTTTATCTATCACCTTAAAAAACAAATCCTCACTTTCTTCCTGCAAAGGGATCCACTATTTTGAATCTGCTGCTTCTTGTTCCAATGCAACTATAGACCTCTGTTTGGTTCTCAAATAATGAGTTTTTATTTTCCATGGTTTAAACTTTATGCAATATACATGTACGCTACATAGTATGCATTTGTCTACAACTTTTCCACCTCAAACATGCTGATTATGGTAACTCTAGCTCATTCATTTCCACAGTTGCTAAATATTCTACAGCTGGATAATGCCACAGTTTAACTATTCCTCTATACATTACAATTATGTAGTTTGTCTTATTTTCTATTACAAAAAATTCTGCTAGGAATTTTATTTTTACTTCTGTTTTTAACAACTTTACTGGGGTTTAACCGATATACCAAAAGACTGAACATGTTTAATGGATACAATTTGATGACTTTGGACATATGCATTACTCATGATATTCGAGGTAATAAATATATCATCAGGTCTAAAGTTTACTTGTGTCCCCCCCTTTTTTTGTTTTTTGGTATGGTAAGAATGCCTATCATGACATCTATTCTTTTAATGAATTTCTAACTGCACAATATCATGTTGTTCACTATAGGTGCTACATTGTACAACAGATCTCTAGATTCTGTTGTTTATCTCACATAACTGAAACTTTACACGCATCAACAACTCCCCATTTGCTCCTCATCCAGGCCCTTGGCAGCCAGCATTCTATTATCTGCTTTCATGAGAATGACCAGTTGAGATAACTCATATGAATAGAATCATACAATATTTGTCTTTCTGAGACTGGCTTATTTTTACATAACGGACTGTCCTTCTGGTTCATCCACATTGTCACAAATGGCAGAGATCTCTTTTAAGGCTAAACTATATTCTATTGTATGTATTATATGCTGCCTTTTAATCCAGTCATCTTTGGATAGACACGTGGGCTGCTTTCATACACTGGATATTATGAACAATGCAGCAATGAATATAGCAGTGCAGACAGCTCTTCAAAATTTTGATTTCAGTTTTTTAAATACATATACTCAGAAGTGGGATTTCCAGATTATATGGTATTTCTTCTTATTTGATAATTTCAACATTTATTTTAGATTCAAGGGGTAAAATGTGCAGGTTTGTTGCGTGGTTATATTGTGTGATGCTGAGGTTTGGGGTAGGAATGTTCCCACCACCCAGATAGTGAACATAGCACCCAATAGATAGTTTTTCAACCCTTTGCCCCCACCTCCCCTCCCCAGTAGTTCCCACTGGACTATATAGTATTTTTATCTTTAATTTTTTTGAGGACTTTTCATACTGTTTCCCATAGTAGCTGCATAATTTTAAATTCCCACCAATAGTGTACAAGCGTTCAAACTTCGCCACATCCTCATTAAACGTGTCATCTTTTGTTTGAAACTAGTCATCCCATACAGCTGTGAGGTGATATCTCATTGTGGTTTTGACTCGTATTTCCCTGATGATCAGTGATACTGAGCACCTTTTCATATACCTAATGCCCACGTGTATGCCCTCTTTGGAGAAATGTCTATTTAACTCTTTTGCCCATTTGTAGTCATGTTATTCTTTTTTTTTTTTTTTTGGCTGTTAAATTGTAGGAGTTTCTTACATAGTTTGAATATTAACCCATCATCAGATAAGTGGTTTGCAAATACTTTCTCCCATTACATAGGCTCCTTTTTACTCTGCTACTTCTTTGCTTTGCTATGCAGAAGCTTTTTAGTTTGAGGTAGTCCGATTTCTCTGTTTTTGCTTTGTTGCCTGTGCTTTTTGTATCATATCCAGGAAATCATTGTCAAACCCAGTATCATAAAGCTTTTCCCTTATGTTTCCTCCTGAGTTTTATGATTTTAGATCTTATCTTTAAGTCTTTAATCCACTTTGATTTTTCTAAATCGTGTAAGGTAGTAGCCCAATTTCATTCTTTCGTATGTAGATACCTAGTATTCTCAAAACCGTTTGTTGAAGAGACTGTCATTTCCCCATTGCATATTCTTGATACCCTGTTGATAAGTAATAAGTGATTTTTCTCTAGCTGCTTGCAAAATTCTCTGTGCCCTTGACTTTTGACAATTTGATTATAATATGTGTCTTCTTTTGGTGTCAATATCTTTAGATTCATCTGATTTGGGATAGTTTGAGCTTAACGAATCTAGGTGTCCATTTCTCTCCCCAGATTTGAGATGTTTTCAGCCATTATTTCTTTAAATGAGCTTTCTGCCCTTTTCCCTCTTCTTATTCTGGAACTTTCATAATGTGCTTATTTGTTGTCCTAATGATGTCCCAGAGGGCCCGTGGGCTTTCTCCACTCTTCCCCTTTTTTTTCTTTTTGTTCCTCTAACTTGATAATTCCAAATTACTTGTCTTCAGGTTTGGAGATTATTTCTTCTCCTTGATCAGGTCTCCTGCTGAATATCTATATTTTTCAGCTCAGTTATTGTATGTACTCTTCAGCTCCAGAGTTTCTGTTTCTTTAAGATAATTATTTAGAATTTTTTGTCAGTCAGTTCATAGGTCTCCATTTCCTTAAGGTCTGTTACCAGAGATTTACTGTGGGTTTTTTTTTTTTGTTTTTTGTTTTTTGTTTTTTTTGTAGTGTCATGTTTCCCTGATTCTTTGTTTTACTTCAGATTTCAGTAGCTATTTGTGCATTTGAAGTATATCCACTTTGTCCAGCCTTTACAGGCCTTGCTTTGGTAGGGAAAGACCTCCTCAATTAACCCTGCTAGTGTATCTGGAAGTTTCCAAAATCTTTTATATGTATTTGCACACTTTACCCTTCTCCCTACCTGCTGGGGAGAAATCTCAAGATTGTGCATCTTCTCCTAATCCCTCAGATCCATGCCAGGTGCCGAAAGCCACAGGCTCCTTTTTCCTTGGGCAGCTCAATAAAATGTTGGGACATTGAGTATAAGTTACACTTCTTTCCCTCCTGCCTAAACAAGAAGTTTTAGAATTATGTACCTTCTCCCAATCCTACTGAACTAAGCCAGCTTCTGAGGTCTACACATCCAGCTGAGAGCTCCATGTGCTGGCTGCTAAGATCCATGCCATCTGCTAAGATCTGTGCCATCAGCTTGAGAGCTGCATATGCTATGGATATATGCCCCATCAGATAAGATCCACTCTGTCAATTGAGATTCAAGTCAGCTGCTGAGAGCCACAATGGCTGTTAACATCTGCACCAGCTGCTGAGAGCCACTTACCCCTTTTCTTTGTTCTTAGCTTCCCCCAGGCATTCTAACTATGCTAGATTCCCTTAGCACTCTGAGTGTGATAAGACAAAAGCAGGTCTTTTGAGCGGTGCCCCAAAAGCCTGCGGATGTTAGATGCCCACTGATTCCCTTTCCCTGATGGGAGAAATCACAGGTTGAGGGAATCTCCCTCAGTACTAGGGTGTGCTGGCTTGAGGGAGTGGGTGATTAGAAACTGCTCTTCTTATCATTTTAATGTGATTATTCTTGGTTTTGTGCGATCCCGGAGCATTGTAACCTCTTATCTGGATTCCTGAGTTCTCATAAAGCTATTTTGGTCCATATGTGGCACCAAATCAGTCTATTTGTTTTTATGAGAAGATAAAGAAATATGGACCTTGACACACACACACACAAAAACATATATTCCACTTGTTTCCTCAATTGTATTGGGTTTGGCAGTAACCTTCTAACTCAGAACGAAGGTAGCCACTTCAGCCTAAAGACACAGAAAATGATGTTCATCCAGTTGAAAAAGCAAGAAGTGTACATGAATGTTTACCAAATTCCTCAGTCACTCATAAGTTTCAGAATGGCATCAGACGTCAGTTCAATTGGAAATAATTCTACATCTGTTTTTCATATACTAGTAACTCAAAGAGTCAGTCATAAGCACCTCCTCCAGAATGCTAAATGTATAGGTGAGTTTCTGAATTATTTTCTAAAATATACATTCTAGTAATTAAAAAACCCCAAAGTAATCGTATGATGCTGCTGAAGCTACAGAACATTATGGAATGTTATTGTCTTCATATTCATTCAGTCGTTTAACTAAATATGTTATACAAAGTGATTATAATGTTTATAGATACCAGATATTGCACTTTTTATATTTAGAATCATTTATTGAAATCTCGTGTTATTTGATGATTCAACAAATGTCTTGCACATAATCAATTACAATCTCAGCTCCCATATCATGTCTATTATTGGTTTTATAGAGTAGATGTCACAATTTAGCACTTGTTTTAAATTTATATCTGAAATTTTCTGCACTCAAGACATCCAGCATTCTACAAGAAAATTCAATTTGAATAATAGTAGCTTGCAAATGCATTTTTTTCTGCATCACTAAAAGGTAAATAACATCATTTGACTTCAATTAAATAATGTGACACTAAAATCCTTGTAAGCAAAAATATAACAATGGAAATACATTAGCATGGAAATTTATAGGCAAACCATAAATTAGGCTTTAGAATGTACTGCAATGAGTGTCAGCTGCTGCAATTTTATTCCTTAAAATGCAAAACAAACTTTACTTGCTAAATTCATGACAGAAAGGAATTACGAAAAATTACTTTTCTTTACTATATCCAATTCCAGTGTACTTTCAATTAGATAAGAGTTTGATTCACACGAGGATCCAGAAAATACATAATGCCTGAAAAACAGATACATTTATAGCCACAGGGCATTGTTATATGAGAATGAAGTAATTAGATCTCTAAATTACTCCATTGTTTAATTCAATTCAATTAAATATATCCTCTAAATATCTCTGGTATTTTCAGCAATTTTCCTTATCATTATAAGAAACAGAAAGTCAAGAAAAAGTTATAATTCTGGGCAGGCCCAATCTTATTTTTTTAGAGACTTTAGGTGGGGTTGGGAGAGAGGTCTATCCCTTCCTCAGAATCTGTGCTTCTATTTTAGAATCCTGTACAGTTCTGAGGCAGATACCTTACAGTACAAGAGTCATTTATCCTGACAGGCACTGTCCTTCTTCTCATCATCATGACCCTGAGGACCGGGATGAGCTTGAATGAGTCCAAGTTCTACATGGGGTTCTGAGATCTTCCTTGAGGTCACCAGTTGTTCTGCTTGCTTAAATCACTCTTTTTTTTTTTTTCTTGAGATAGAGTCTCACTGTTGCCCAGGCTGGAGTGCAGTGGCGTGATCTCGGCTCACTGCAACCTCCGCCTCCTGGGTTCAAGCGATTCTCCTGCCTCAACCTCTAGAGTGGCTAGAATCACAGGTGCACACCACCACACTCAGCTAATATTTTTTTTTTTTTTTTTGACAGAGGTTCGCTCTTGTCACCCAGACTGGAGTACAGTAGTGCGATGTTGGCTCACTGCAACCTCCGCCTCCCGGGTTCAAGTGATTCTCCTGCCTCAGCCTCCCAAGTAGTTGAAATTGCAGGTGTTCACCACAAGTCCTGGCTAATTTTTGTATTTTTAGTAGAGATGGGGTTTCATCATGTTAGCCAGGCTGGTCTCGAACTCCTGACCTGAAGTGATCCGCCTGCCTCTTCCTCTCAAAGTGCTGGGATTACAGGCATGAGCCACCACACCCACCCTTAAATGACTCTTGTAACCATTTCCCCTCTGGAATATCGCTGGCCTTTTGGCTTCTCTGCTGGAAGCTGAGGACATGTCACTTGTGCTTTGAAATCCCCATCTCCAATGTCACCATCTCCCTTCATGTCAAGCTGGGAAAACTTTCTAGTTTCAGTGAAATCCTTCTGCCTTTGTGTTTATGGTTAAGATATTTTATCTATGTCTCAATCTTCTCATGTCTCTAGAGTTTAAAAAGACTTGCAAGAGCCTTCTGCATTCTACCTTGTTTCAAAACTCACTCAAAACAAGCACAAGTCTGACCATTTACTCATATGAAATGGCAGGATTGGGAAGTGGGAGGGGAGGGGGAGAATACACAGATTTTAAAACATGATAATGCCTCAAAATATACCACCCAAAACACCTAACTTGCACGGTTGTAGTAATACTTAGAATTTCTGCATGTAAAATTTGTTGCATATTCTAGAGTTTTTCTGTAATGATAGTTACTATTTTTATTATCATATAGGACCCTATAAAATTACTCCCATGATTTAGATTTCTGATATTCCTGCAACAATTATGTGAACAAATTATATATAACAGATGGAAGATATTGAATGGAGTCCCAAGGACTAGCCAGAGACAGAGCTCAAAGTTAAGCCCCTGATACTTTGAAAATTCAAAGAACATTTAAATTCTAAAAACTACAAATCAAATTTAGACCTAAACAATGAGCATGGTTTCTGACACATATATCCAATAAGCAATCTTCCTACATTTCTACTGACATTTTCTTAACATCTTCAGTTCTCAGGTTTAACCCCAAAAGACATGTTGATAATTTGGCAAAGATAGCATACATGTGGTGCCTAACATTTTCAAGGATACAGTTTATTTGAGAGTGGCTACCGTGAGGCTGATTCGAGGGCTACTACTATAAGAGAACAAAGAGGCAATATGAATTAGATCAAGGTAGTAATAGTGAGGAAAGAAAGAATTGGATGAATTCTATTTTACATAGATGCCTTCATGATTAATCGGCTCAGGTCCTACACTAGGTAACAGAAATTTAAAAACTAGAATACAACCTCTAGTTTCCAGAATCAGTGGCTAAGTAGATAGTGAAGGCATTTCCTAAGATAGGAAGAACTGGAACTTCAGAAGGTCGCAGAGAATTTTTTTCTAGTTTGATTAATGATATGCTTACCAGTTATTTCCATTTACATGTTTCAATGACATTTCAAGTTCACCATATCTTTAATCACTGTCTATACATTATCAATATGCCAATAATTCCCAAATAAATATATCAAGCCTAGACTTTTCTTGAGATTTCACTTTGTTCTTAGTCTTGATACAGGCTCTGGAATTGTTAGCATATAGACAATAATAAAATTTATATCAGTGGATAAAATTGTCTAAGGAGAGTGTAGAGTAAATAGGTAGAGAAAAAAGAAATTTAAAAAAATCCTGGAAAACAGTAATTATAAGATGTCAGCAATATGTCGCTGTAGAGCTGACAAGCATTGACTGCTTTCCTTTTTCCAGAACTGGGCTAAGAATATTTTATACGTTATTTCATGTAACCCCTATAGCAGGGATATCTGTAATAATGCCATGCGGACACAGAATATATTCTAATACTTAATAAGAAATGATGTGTGAAATCAGCAGGAAACTTCAAACAATCACCTCTGTATTATTCTCTGTATTATTTTCTTTAGATTTGAGTAGAGGCACAAAGGAAGAAAAACTGGTTAAATATTTGCTCTCTTTTTAGAAGTTTTTTATGTGTTCTGGAAGTCAGAAATTTTTACAAGTATAAAAAATCCTGGGGGTCAGGCCAAGTGACATTCAAGTTGATAACAGCGCTTTTCAGGTTTTAAATGTCAGTACTTTTAAGCCAGTCCTAATCTTTCTTGAATCAAATAAATGAATAATAAATGTCTGCAAGATTTTTCCATGCATACCCTTATTGAAATCATGCATTCATTTAACAGTACTATGCATTTATAAAGCTGGCTATTGATCAGAGGGGGTATTGTGATCATTCTTCTTTCTCTGCATTCTATCAAAGGTGCTTAAGATGTTTTGGTAATTCCTTTACATGTCTGTCTTACCCATCAGGCTATGGGCTCATTGATGGTTGGCGCATATTTTACTTATCTTCTATATCAAGAAGTTAGAAATGAACATAAAATATATTATAAACTTATATTAAAATATATTATAAACTTAATAAGTTACGCTTTGAACATTTCACATTTATAAAACTACATTTTTAATAATTTGTGAAGGGCTAAAACACAAAGATTGTCAGTAGATACTTTCTTTGAGGCCATGGTTAACGGCAGAAAAAACATGGGTCTGGGAGGTAAATACAAGTTTGAATGCTCACTATATATTAGCTTCCTCATTTTTCACTTTTATCCTTTTCATCTTAATCACCCTAGTCCATTTCTATAACCACTTGCTCACAAAGGACCTCAGCTTCCTTGCCTATCCCTCTGTCCTTGGTACTTAACTGGTAAGACTCTAGCTCTAGATAAACCAAATAGCTCTCTCCTCCATGCCTTAATCCATGAAACATGCTAGAGGGAAATCACCCAACCAGGCTCCCTAGTTTGAACTCTGAATTAATAATCAAAAACCTCAAAGGTACGCTCAAGATTTGCAGGAACTTTACTATTTTTATCTAGCAAACTTGAGATGCCATTCACTAATATTATTTCACAACATCTTCTCTCTCTTCAAACTGAGAAAAATCATCAGATGCTAAATACATTTTCTTCACATCATTAAATTTGTAATGAGCCAGCACATGAAAACCTTACAAATGGTCTTCAGCGGGACATGCTGTAAGAATAATAATTCAACTTAAAAAATGTCAGTTTATCCATCTACATTCACTTAAAAATTTCAGGCCTGCTAATACCTGCAGATCTTCTAGGTAAATCTTACTACATACATCAGTAGGGTGCAGGAATTTAAGTTAGCTTATGTTTTCATTGCAAGTCTTGGAATCATGGCCCTGATCTTCTAGCTAGTGTGGTCTACCAACTCTGTGTTCTATCTTCCACCCACATTATGCTTCAAGTACTTCAACTGGATTATTTCATCTATGTATTAAAAGAAAGTTTATTGAGTGTCATCTATGTGCAAAGCACCATTATAGAAGCTGGTGTAACAGCAGCGAAAATACAAAGTTCCCATACTCATGAAGACGATATTCTTGTAGGAAGAGTTAGAAAAAACAAACACACATATAAATGGGTAATAGAGTGATAAGTGTTATGAAGAGGAATAAAGCAACGTGGGAAATAACAAGGTCCATGCAATTAATATTTCATTTTATAAGATTGGTAGAGAAGACTTTTTAAATAAAATAATATTTAAGCAGAGTCTCAAAAGTTTTTCACCATGTGCATGTGAGAAAAACACATGAGGAGGGGACAGCAAGCACAATGGTCCTGAATTGGTGCAGGAGAGAAACAAAAAGCCAGTACGACTAGGTACAGAGTGATCAAAAAGAAGATTGTTGAGGCTGAGTGCAGTGGTTCACACCTGTAATACCAGCACTTTGAGAGGCCAAAGCAGCCACATGGCTTGAGCCCAGGAGTTCTAAACCAGCCCATCTCTCAATAAAAAAATTTTTAAAACATTATCCAGGAATGGTGGCACATCTGTAAAGTCCCAGCTACTCCAGAGGCTGAGGTGGGAGGATCACCTGAGACCAGGGAGTTTGAGGCTGCAGTGAGCTGTGATCGCACCACTGCACTCCAGCCTGGGCGACAGAGTGAGTCCCTGTCTCAACAAAGAAGAAGAAGGACAATAAGGAGAAGGAGAATAAGGAGAAGGAGAAGAAGAGAAAGAGGAAGAGGAGGAGGAGGAAGAGGAGGAGGAGGATGGTGGGGAAGAAGAAGAAGAGAAAGAGGAAGAGGAGGAGGAGGAAGAGGAGGAGGAGGATGGTGGGGAAGAGGAAGAGGAAGAAGAAGGAGGAGGAGGAGAAGGAGAAGAAAAAGAAGTTGAATAAGGAAGAGGAGGAGGAGGCAAAGGAGAAAAAGAAGAAAGAGAAGGAGAAGAAGAAAGGGTAGGGAGAAGAAGAGTGCAAAGTTGTGAGTTTAAAGGACTTTGTGTCCATTGTAAGGATTTTCTTACTATTTTTTTCCAGAGGAGCAAAATAATCTGGTGTGTTTTTAAAACACTAGTGATTACCAGATAGAAAACCAAAGCAATAATTCAAGCACCAGATTATAGTGGCTTGGCTGGGATTGGTAAAAGTGAGGTCATAAAATAGGTTAGATCCTGAACATGCTTTGGTCCTTCATCTCCTGGGACCCTAACCCTCATATAACTGGGCAGGTTGACTTTCCTTCTACCTTCTGACACTCCTCATCTCCTCAACTCTTCCACTCTGTACTCTGGAATTTCAATTCCATCAATAGCAAAATCTGTTGTGGCCTCAAATTCTTTTGTGAAAGCTTCCTTTGCTTTCTTGTCCAAAAAAGTCCAAATCTTCCCTAAAACATTGCTCCTGCTGCAGGCACAGGTAGTGGCTGTTTTCTCTCCCATGCCCCTCACAACACCAAGGTTAGAAGACATGGTTCACATCCTCACTGTTCCTCATATTCTCTTCCAGATGATTCTTGCTCTCAAATCCCACAAACACCCACTTTTGTTTATTGTGTCATCAGACCCTACTACACACTATTCCTCCTTACAACACTCATCTATCACTTCTTAGAACACTCATTTCATTCTCTTTGGCTCCTGACCAAAGTCTCTTTCCTCAACACTACCTCTGTCACATGTTTTACTGATTTCTATACTAATGTACATGATCCTTTTAATCCTTCTTCCTAGGCCCTACCATGGCAAAGACAAAGAAATGGCAACTAAAACCCATTCTGTCCTTCCATGAATAAAATTTCAAGCTAAATGAAGACCGCATGTCACAGAATCTTTCTCCAATTTTTTATTAAGGTATAGTCATATTACTAGTTCTCACTAACAAAATGTGATCAAAGCTGATCTGTGCCACTTTAGGATCAAGGCTTTTAAAAGTTAGTTGGCCTCCTCTATGCCCTCTTCACTCTCCTGCCTATAGGATGTAAGAAAAATAAGGGTTTGAAAAAATTTAAAAGGTAGGTGGAGTCTGGGTTCCTGAATCATTTATTGGCAGAAAATTGGCCACCAACTAGAAACGCAGTTTGGTAACAGAGACGTGAGGTATTTTTTTGGTTGTGTTTACAGCCACAGCCTAGCATATCTAACTAATAAGACATCTCTCATCCGACAACTCGCCTAGGACCCCACCTCATCCACCATTTCCATGGTTACACCCAAGACCTGACATTGCCAATAGCTGCACACTTTCTGTGAGCAATATTTCAAATATTCCTTTTTGATGCCAGTTGCATTGTTTTAGCTCCTTCCCGTTAGTGGTTACTTACCAAATTTTCAAAACACTATTCCATTGATGCTCACATTATTTTATGGTTCCTCATATCCATAATACCCTGATTTCTGATTTCTCTTCTTACATAGGTTAAATATAATAGAAAAGGATATACAGGCATATCTTGGAAATATTGTGGGTACAGTTCCAGACCACCACAATTCAGCAAAGATCACAATAAAGTGAGTCACACAAATTTTCTGGTTTCCCAATGCTTACAGTATGCGTACAACATACTGTAAGTGTGCAATAGTATTATTTCTAAAAAAAAAAAAAAAAAGTACCTTAATTTTAAAATACTTTGTTGCTAAAAAATACAAACAATGACATAAGACTTCACTGAGTAATAATCTTTTTGCTAGTGGATGCTCTTGCCTCAGTGTTGATGGCTACTGACTGATCAGGATGATGTTTGCTGAAGGTTGGGGTGGTTGTGTCAATCTTTAAAAATGAGACAACAATGAAGTTTGCCACATCTATTGACTCTTTCTTTCAAGGAAAATCTCTCAGGCCAGGTGTGGTGGCTCACGCCTGTAAGCCCAGCACTTTGGGAGGTCGAGGCGGGTGGATCACGAGGTCAGGAGTTCGAGACCAGCGTGGCCAATATGGTGAAACCCTGTCTGTACTAAAAATGTAAACGTTAGTCAGGTGTGGTGGCATGCGCCTGTAGTCCCAGCTACTTGGGAGGCTGAGGCTTAAGAATTGCTTGAGCCCAGGAGGTGGAGGTTGCCATAAGCTGAGATCAGGCCACTGCACTCCAGCCTGGGGGACAGAGTGAGACTCTGTCAAAAAAAAAAAAAAAAGAAAGAAAGAAAGAAACAGAGAAAGAAACAAAGAAAGAAAGAAAGAGAAAGAAAAACTTCTCTGTAGCATTTAACACTGTTGGATAGCATTTACCCACAGTACTTCTGTCAAGACTGAAGTCAGTCCTCTCAACCCTTGCCATTGCTTTATCAACTACATTTATTGAATATTTGTTTGTTGTCATCTCAACAATGTCTACAGCATCTTCATCGTGAGTAGATTCCCTCTCAAGAAACCACTTTCTTTGTTCATCTATAGGAAGCAACTCCTCATCCATTCAAGTTTTGTCATGAGGTTACAGCAACTCAGTCGCATCATCAGGCTGCACTTCTAATTCTAGTTCTCTTGCTATTTCCATCACATCTGCAGTTATTTCCTCCGCTGAAGTCTTGAACCTCACAAAGTCATCCACTGAGGGTTGGAATCAACTTCTTCCAAACTCCTATTAATGTTGATATTTTAATCTCCTCCCATGAATCACCAATGTTCTTAATGGTTTCTAGAATGGTAAATTCTTTTCAAAAGCCTTTCAATTTACTCTGACCAAATCCATCAGAATCACCATATATATGGCAGCTATATCCTTACAAAGTGTATTTCAAAAATAAAAAGACTTGAAAGTTGAAATTACTCTTTCATCCATGAGCTACATAATAGATATTGTGTTGTCACTTACATAACAGCACACATTTCCTTGTACATCTCCATCTGAGCTCTTGGGTTACCAGGTGCATTGTTAATGAGCAGTAATATTTTGAAAGGAAGTTTTTTTTTTCCATAGTGGTCATAAAATAGTCAGTATACCATGCCGTAAACAGATGTGCTGACATCTAGGCTTTGTTGCTCCATTTATTGAGCACAGGCAGAATATCTGATTTAGCTTAATTCCTAAGGGCGATACGATTTTCAGAATCATAAATAAGCATTGGCTTCAGCTTATAATCACCAGCTGCACTAGCCCCTAACAAGAGAGTCAGGCTGTCCTTTGAAGTTTGGAAGACATAGGCTTCCAAAGTTTGAGAAGTTTGGAGAAGCATAGGCTTCTCCTCTGTAGCAATGAAAGTCCTAGATTGCATCTTCTTCCAAGAGAAGACTGTTTTGTCTACATTGAAATTCTGTTGGTGACTGTAGCCACTTTCATCAATGATCTTAGCTAGATCTTCTGGATAACTTGCTGCAGCTTCTTCATCAGCACTTACTCCTTAACCTTGCACCTTTATGTTATAGACATGTCTTCTTTCCTTAAAGCTTATGAACCAACCTCAGCTAGCTTCCAACTTTTTTACTGCAGCTTCCTCACCTCTCTCAGCCTTCATAGAATTTAAGAGTTAGGGCCTTGCTCTGGATTAGGCTTGGGCTTAAGAAAATGAAGTGACTGTTTTGATCTATCCAGACCACTGAAACTTTCTCAATATCAGCAATAAGGCTACTTTGCTTTATTATCATTCCTGTGTTCACTGGAATAGCACTTCTAATTTTCTTCAAGAACTTTTTCTTTGCATTCACAGCTTGGCTAACCAACTCATACAAGAGTTGTAGCTTAGCCTTCAACATGCCTTTCTCACTAAGCTTAATCATTTCTAACTCTTGATTTAAAGTGAGGTATGTGTGACTTTTTCTTTCACTTGAACCCTTAGAGCCTATATTGTATGGTTATTCATTGGCCTAATTTTATTATTGGTGTGTGTCAGGGAATAGGGAGGCCTAAAGTGAGGGAGAGAGCTGAGGAAATGGCCAGTTGGTGGAGCAGTCAGAACTCACACATTTACTAAGTTTGCTGTCTTATATGGGTACAGTTCATGGTTCCCCAAAACAATTACAACAGTAGCATTAAAATTGCTGATCACAGGCCAACATACAGATAAAATAATAATGAAAAAGTTTGAAATATTGTGAGAATTACCAAAATGTGACAAAGAGACACAAAGTGACCACACGCTGGCGGAAAAAAAAATGGTGCTGATAGAATTGCTCAACACAGGGTTGCAATAAACCTTCAATGTGTAAAAAACGCAGGCCAGGCGTGGTGGCTCATACCTGTAATCCCAGCTCTTTGGGAGGCTGAGGCGGGCGGATCACTTGAGGTCAGGAATAGCTGAGATCAGCCTGGCCAACACGGCAAAATCACATGTCTACTAAAAATACAAAAATTAGCTGGGCATGGTGTTGCAAGCCTGTAATTCCAGCTACCTGGGAGGCTGAGGCATGAGAATCACTTGAACCCGGGAGGCGGAGGATGCAGTGAGCCGACATTGTGCCACTGCACAACAGCCTGGGTGACAGAGCGAGGCCCTCTCTCAAAAAACGAGCAAAGAAACAAACAAATAAACAAAAAACTTCAAGATCTGTGAAGCACTATAGAGTGAAGTACAATGAAACCAGGTCTGCCTGTACTCCAAATCCCTTGTCCCTGTCACTTGATCAGTTACTTGCTTAAACCACAACCCTGATTAAATTTGGTCCCCTCCAATATTGTATCTCTGTACTGATAGAGCTGAATGGGGATGGGAAAAAAGCAGAGAACCATGATAACTGGTTTCTCCTAAATTCCCTGACACTAACTTCAGTTAAACCCATAATGGTGACACAAAGTTTTTCTATATTTCTTAAATCATCTGTTCTCTCACTGCCTTTTACCTTCAAACGTACACCACCAAAAACTCATTCTCTGTATGAGCTGGTGTTGTGTTTTGTGTCACTGAAAATACTGAGACCACCCCAAAAATCCTCCATAAGATCACTACCACTTAGAGTTTCAGCATCTGTGCACACATACTTTGCCTTCTTTTTTCTACCTATGGATAAATTTCATCTTGTACTAGCCAAGGTCAAGATGTCTGCACTAGAATTCATTCCTCTCCCGCTTACACTCAGGAATATTCTTCTAGCAATTCTCCCTTTTTTCATGTCTGAAATTTTTGTCTCTAGTAACTCACTCTCCACAATAAATACTACTTCTCTTATCTTAGAATGTTACATTTACCCCATTCCTCCTTCACTTACTATGTAAATTTTTATAGCAAAATGTGTACAAAGCATTTCATGTGCACAAAGAAAAATGTATACAAAGTTTTATTTGTTGTCTCTCATTGTCTTCCCCCAGTGTGCTATTCACCCCAATCACAGTTTTGCCTCCCACTGCAGCTGTGCCCATCAACAAAACCCCTTGACATCACTAAATCTAGTGGTCATTCTTTGCCATCTGCTTGCTTGACACAACAGCATGATAGAGTAATTGTGATTCTTGGAACCATTTTCTCCTCTAGGCTCTCAGGACTCTATTCATCGTGGTCTTGTCCAACTTCTCTTTCTTGTCTCTCAGTGTTCTTTCCTGGTTCCTCTTCCTTCCCCTCACTTCCATTTGGTGTGTCCCAGTGTTTAGTCTTTAGACTCTTTTATTTCTTGTCTATACTCTTGGGTGACTACCTCAATCAATTTCATGGCTTTGAAAAACATACACAATCTTTCACTTATTACAATTTATATATTCTCTGAACTCTAGGCTCATCTATTCAGCTATTTGCTCTCTTAATTTGCATGTCTCACAGCCATCTTAAGCTTTACATGTTCAAGATTAATTCCTAATATTATCTTCCACCAAAAATCCACTGTTGCTGAGCATGGTGACACATGCCTGTAGTTTCAGCTACTTGGGAGGACGAGGCAGGAAAATTGTTTGAGCCCAGGAGTTTAGGGCTGCAGTAAGACTTTTACAAACAGAGTGACTCTGTTTCTGAAAAACAAATCAAATAAAATCATAGTGTTCTTCTTATAATCTTAACTGTCTCAATAAAAGGCAAATGAGTTTTTCCAAATGTGAAAGCCAACTACTTTGGAGAGTCCCTTAACTACTTTTATTTACACTACAGCTGTAAACCTCCAGCAAATCTTGCCAGCTCTACTTTTGACATATACCCAGAATCCAACTGCTTCTCACTTCTTACTGCTACTACTGCTGGGCCCTGGCCCCCCTCACCTTCTATACAGATTCTTGTTGTACCTTTGGGTTGGTCTTCTCTAGATGCTGCCTTTGACCATTAACAAGCTTCCAGGATTAACTTTTTTAAATCTTTGGCAGAATGTTACCTTTTTTGCTTAAAATCCTATAGGGATTTTTATCTCACTTAGTGCAGAAGTCAGTTTTTTGTTTTGTTTTGTTTTGCTACAAGACACTATTTGACCTCCAAATTTTGCCATTAACTCTTTGAACTCCTCTCCTATTGCTCATGTTCTGATCCTGAGCTCTTTATTTCAGCCACACAATTTCTGGAAGGCCTAGGCAAATCCCTGCTTCAGAGCCCTTGCAGCAGGAGTTACATTTTCCTGCCATCTTTACTCAAATGTGAGTGAGGCTTTTATTGGCTATCCTTGTCTCCTTTTCTTGTATATTCATTATAGGCAGAATAAAAGATGGCCATATCCTAATCCCCCAAACCTGTGAATATGTTAGGTTACACGGCAAAGGGAAATTAAAGTTGTAAATAGAATTAAGGTTGCTAGTTAGTCGACTTTACAACAAGGACATCATCCTGGATTATCCCCGTGGGCTCCACAGAGTTCCAAGAGTACTTCGAAGTAGAAGAGCAAGGCAGAAGAGAAGAGCCAGAGTGAAACGTGACTACGGAAGAAACACACAGAGACAGGCAGCTTTGCTAGTGTTGAAGATGCAGGAAGAAAGCCATGAGCCAACATGAATGTGGATGGTCCATAGAAGCAAGAAAAGGCCAAAAAAAGAACTTACCCCTAGAGCAACCTGATGGGAATGCAGCCCTGCCAATATCCTGATTTTAGCCCAGTGTGACCCATTACACACTGGGTCTATATGACCTTACACAACCAAAAGGTAGTAAGTTTCTGTGGTTTTAAACTCTTAAATGTGTGGCAATTTGTTACAGCGGCAATAAAAAGCTAACACCTACCTAAAGTTTAACCAACTTCTTCAACATTCCTTTCGCCTCTCCGCTGTTTTATTTTTGCCATAGCATTAATTTCTTACTAATGTACATTATGGTTTGTTCATTTTTCTTATTAATGCTGTGTCTCATTGGAATGCAAGTTCCGTGAAGGCTGTAAGAACAGATATTTTTGCCTTTTTTGCTGATCGCTGTATCCCCATCACCCACAAGTGTGCCTAGAGCATGATAAATATTTATTAAAATTGTTGAATGAATACATTGAATATATATATATATATATATATAGATATATATAGATATATATATATATATGCGTGTGTGTGTGTGTGTGTGTGTGCTGATTGGTTATATTTAATTTAGATTCTCTCCATTGCTTTATCTTGTGCTTGTTAAGGACCTTTCTTATTTACTTACTGAGTTATTCAGTAATTACAACTTCTGCCCTCCAGTAAATCATCTTGCAGACCTGAGTTCTCACTTTCTTAACTCCAGTTTACTTGATCCTTCTCCCTATAATTCCATACAACATTTGAAGCAAAAAATGCCCTAAAAGCACTTTTTAAAACACCTGCTCACTCAGAAAGTATATCAGGAACAGAGGCATTTAGTGATTGTTGATATGCACTTGTTAAACATTGCTGAGTGGTCAGCACTGTGAACATAATGGATTACCTTGTAAAATCTTTTATGATATATTTAATCTTAATTTGTTTTTGATGAATAACAACAAAACATATTAATCTTATAATTAGCAATAAATGAAAAACATAAGTTTATATATTAATTTTGTAAAGTAATGACTATATATGTTGCAGAGACAAGAAGGTCATACATATACAGATGCCTTTATATGTTTTTACCCTAGAAAACTTAAAAAGATTTATCCATTTTCCTACCTAGATTTTATTTTGCTTTTGATCACTTTTCTTACCTTAATTTATATTTCAATATGGTATTTCATCTTCAATATTATACTTTTAAAAGTACTAGCTTCTAAGGAAAATAAAATCGAATTTACTCTTGAAATCACTTTTCATATGTATAATGTGATATCTACTTTACTCATATTATGTTAGATAGTACGCAATAGTTTGGAGTGGCTGATTGCCCTGTTCATACTATTCCAAGCAATATCTAAAGACAAACGCACTGAACAAACTGAGTTAAACTTTATCTGCTGAAATTTGCAGCTTATTTAGTGGCTTATGAGAAGAAACACACACACAGATTGAATAGAAAAGGATTTTTCCCCATTAAAACATCCTTATGTATTCTGATTGTGATTACATGGAGGTCATTTTTCAAAATGCCAAATGGTTTCTTATCAGAATAAGAATGACACAAGCTGTGGTCTGACTTACGTGACATTGAATCTCAAAATGAGTCAGTAAAGTAAATTAAAAAGTGAGAGTTTTGCAGCAAGTTAGCACTCCCTCCTGAATCCTGCCTTGTAGAGTGTCATGATATATTGAACTATCAAGAGCATATTATACAAAACACACACACAGTTAGTATTTGCTCCAGAATTACGTTATTGTAAAATCAATGAGTTGACATCATGTATGAAATTTTCCATGCAAGGCTTCAGGGAAAATTTTTTGTGGTCAAACTCAGCATTAGTCCATCCCATTGGGTAATTACAGCATTCAAAACTCATGCCGATTATTACGGCCATTTATGTTCATAATAACATCTGTCAATCTTCCAGCTATATTTATCTTATGAAGGTAATAGTGCTGTCTCACGTAGAAATGAAGAATATGTTAATTAAAGCAAATTGAAATTCTTATTTCCCGTAATTTGAATGACTACCCAAAGAAATGGAAAATAAGTGATTAAAATAAAAACAGATATCTAAGATCTTAAAATAAAGTTTGCTCTAATTTTTAGATCATTTTAATTAGTTCTCAAATAGAGTCCAAACAAAATAGCATACCACTTCCTTTACTATGGTTTTGCAAATACAGTTGTGATAATTGGTCAACATTGTTTGGCAAAGGACAATTTCATCTGAAAGTTTATGAGTTTGGCTTGTATTAGTTCTGTAAAGATTGGCTTTAATTCCAAAAATCACCTATAAGCCATTGACCAAATGCTTTCTGTTTTGTTTTGCAATATGAGTAATAATACTCATCATAGGGGTTTTAAAAAGCATCCTTAGAAACCAGTTACCTTCATCCAAAGTTGTATTTAAATCTACAGGTGAAGAAACCTAAAGTAGGATGGTAAACTTCATCCACGACCCAAACTGGCAAATAAAGATAACCCAAAATATTTTTTGTCAGCCAGCACAATGTTTTGTAGTAGTTGTTATGCCTGTTTCTGTTTTTTCCATGATGTGAGGATGAAATGAACAGAGTCTGAAAACATCTCTGTTTAGAAGCTTCATTCCACTTTGGATAATAATTCCCTCTAATAACTTTTTTTTTTAACTTTCTGCCTTCCTTACCAATTGGCTATTCAATATCATATGGTACAGTTTACTTCAGAGCCAGAACTTTTCCTCAAATTGTTATTATAATTTTTACAACTAAAATGCAAAACATCTATTTGTGTTATTATTAATCCAGATTTAATGTATTCATTTATTAAAGAATACTAAACAACCTGAGCACATAAATAAAATACACTTTTTAAAGGAGAGTGAAAAACAATCCTTTCATCATGATTTTTATCTTCTGTATTCAATGGTTTGACCTGGCAGTTTGTCTGTTTGTTTGTTTATTCTTCAACCAATTTAAAAAAGAAAAACTATCCTGAGAAGGACATCTATATGCTATGAGCTAATTATCGCTGGTGCTTTTCTAATCAGATGACGTAGCCAAGTCAAGTAAATGTTCTTGAATTTGTTAATCTATAGAACTAGATTGTAATACTATATGTTTCACAGGATTTTTGTTAAAATTAAGTGGAATAATTTGAGAAATGTTATACCCAACATCTGGCAAACAGTAGGCTGAGTAGGTTCAGGGAGCAGGTCAGTTTTGTTAATCTATCGATTACCTTCATGCTTAGGACAATGCCTGGGACACTGCAGGAACTCAATTATAATTGTTCATTGGATCAGTGAATATATGAATAAAACCTACTTTCTATTTTTGACATCTAATCAGGGTTTATTAGTGCAAAGACACAGAATTGGGGATGGAGATAAGTCAATGAAAATGAAAGAAGAGTCATTATATAGAAATATCAAGAACAGTAAACATCCAGGTAGTTAAAGTAATATTTGTTTGGAGGACATACATAATTTAAAGAGAAATTCTGTCTTTAAACATTAGGTTTATGTATTACTAAAAATAGTAATTATCTATCTTTAAAAAATGTTGACTGCCTAACCTTCTAGAACATAGAGGGAGAACTGCAATTTTGTTTTCATTTTTAGTTTGTATGTGTTAACAAAATACTACTGCTAAAATGTCCTTCTCCACTGACTTTAACTGATATCCAGTAAATGTGTAATACCAGCAATTGGAGTCAAACCTAGATTTAAAAGTGACATATGATTAGAAAAAGGGAAGTAGAGATACACATTAAATATAATAATCTGTCACCTAATACATAGAAAAAATAAAAAATACTTTTCATGGTAAGAAAAGGACCACTTCTCAGACAATGCTCCTTCCCTTATACTTAAAAACATCAGCAGTGATAGACGATCTTAAGAGGCTGTCTGTATTCACTTTCTAGTCATCCTGAAGGCCTTTTGTATGTTTCTTAAAATAGTTAATGAAGAATAGCCTTGAAAAATATTTTAGCAATATCCACGGTCATAAGTTCAGAAATCAATTGTATCTAATGAAAAAAACCTGACAAGCTCGCTTAATATTCAATATATGAGCTTGTTTTCCCACTGGCTCACATTTAAGGCATGTAAAATGTGCTTTTCAGGGAATGATATATTTGTGGAGTAAAGATGATACACTTTGCAAATATTCTTCGAGACAGATCATTCAAATGTATGTCCTGTTTAGAACTTTGCTGCAACCTGAGTGTGTGGATGCTGTTAAGGACTGAATATCTGTGTCCCCCTAAAATCATATGTTGAAATCTTAACCCTCATTGTAATGATATTAGGAGGTGGGGCCTTTGGAAGATGATTAGGTCATGAAGGCAGAGCCTCATAAGTGGAATTAACAACCTTATAAAAGAAACCCCAGAGAGCTCTCTTGCCTCTTTGCTTGCATGCTGAGTACACAGCAAGAAGACGGCCTCTATGAAACAGAAAGTGGACCCCTACCAGACAATGAATCTGCTGACACCTTGCTCTTGGACTTCCCAGCCTCCAGAACTGTGAGAAATAAATACTTGTTGCTTAACCCAGCCAACTTATGGTATTTCTGTTACAGCAGCCAAACTGACTGAGACAGATGCTGAGCTAGTCATTCCAATTTTTGATCACACAAAAAACCTAAAGCACATTTCCACGCCTGTTAAAATAGTTCCAGAAGTTATGATGATCATTTCCAAGAAAAACTAGTCCAGACTATTTAAGTCTATATGGTATTTCTAAAGAGAGCATGTTAAACATTAATCATTTTTTTGAAGTTACTTTCTTCTTTTTCAGAATTGAGCTGGTCTTTATTTAAATCATTTATCTATTTATTACCACTAAAACTAAATTGACTTACCTTTTGAGAAACAGAAGCAGGGCCCAGAGAGATTTCTTTCCTTGTTTTGCTTTCACTACCAATTTTCTTTTGCTACTAAAGTGTGCTGTTCACCTTCAAGAGCAGAGGGAGTAAGTTTTATGGACTCTTGCACTCCTTTATATATGGCGGCAACCTGAGTAAATACAGTAAAGATGCAACTAGAAACCTCGCACTTTGGAAGATGACTTTAGTTTACAGAATCTGACTATCTATAGCTCTTAAAACTCTTGGCAGTAAAAATTTATAGCATCAGGAACAATTTTCTGTACCCCAGCACTGAGTCCTGCTTCAGGAAGAACATTCTTCCATCTGTATGAAAAATTGTTGCTAAGAGAAAATATTTTTATACCGATACATGTCTTGTGTTTTTGCTCCTTATCTGATATTCTAGATTTTCTCTTAAAAGACATTTTCCTTTCTGTTACTTGGGATTTATCTAGATCTCAGTTAAATCACTTATAGCTAAAGGCACTTTTAGAGATTTATAAGGTTAAGGATTTTCGATGATGTAGATATTGTATTCAGTTTCTAAAAGTTACTGTCCCTATAAGTCAAGTATATTAAGTCAAACTTTTAAAACAACCTGGTATTTATATTAAATAATACATCAGAATAAATTCTGAAGATTTTGAAATAGACTATATATTTACATTCTGTATTTTGTAGTTGAATGTATCTTGTTTGGTTCTGGAGCAAAGTGAGACATAATCTTCCCTACATTAAGCATAAATGGCATTCTAAATTCAGAGCAAACTTATACATGTACTAGTAGCAGTCAAGGAAATATTCCCAACCATATTACACAAAAATTTGTATAAGCTTCAAGATTAATTATGGATTTCTGATATACAAAGCATGATGTATTTTTGAGTAAGAACACAGATGGAAGTTCCATTTTAGCTCAGTTTTACATTTTTCAAATTTACTTTCTCTCTGATAGCTAACTTAACTTTTCAACAAACAAGCACTGATCGTAAACATGAAAATAGCTGGGAAAATTGATTACACTGATCTCTGTGGAACTAACAAAGACTCTCTCTTTGACCAAACTCCAGCCAGGCTCCTCTGGGCCTCCTGTTCCACTAGGCTTTAACTTTGGCCCATAAAGACTTCAACAAACACTAACATCATTTCTAACACCTCCAGGCCACATCCTTAAGATGACCCTAGGCCGCCTTATAGCACTTGTTTGAGAAAATTCAAGGCTGCCAAAAATTTTTCTATTTGTTTCATCCAACACCTGAGGACAGAGCTTCTGTCTCCCAGTCTCTCTGGGATGATAAATATCTCCTATAATCTCCAGCTAGCAAGCACAGCTGGCCTGACCACAGTCACACTAACTAACCCTTTGTATTTTTTCACATCCTTGACTCTACCAAACTCATGCTCACCTCCTTTCCTGTTTACTCCCTTGTTCTCTCTTTAGAATTTCCTGTACCTCTGTACAAATCAAAGTTGAGTTCAGTCCACAATGGACCCTTTTTTTCTATTGCAATAATTATTACTGATTGAAATGAGTCCTTACCATTTTCACTAGTGTCTGGCTTTATCATTGGCAAAATAATTTCTTTATGTAGGATCCAGCACAATGGGAGAAATGAGACAAATAGCTACCCACAAAGATAATGTTTTTCAATACTGATTGTATCTAGATGCCATGAAACAATTGGCGTCACTTATGGGTTCACCCTTTCCAACCCTGGCAATCCATTTTACATTGCCCTGGCTCTGTCTGATTATTGACAGGGAGCTTTTCAAACTCCTGAGCCTCTGTTTGTGTTTCAGATGGAGTTTAAGTTAATTCAGCCTTCCTAACTTTCCACAAAAAATATCATAGCCTTATGTTTACACAAACCTACACACAGAGACATGTATGTACACACACATACACTTTCATGAAATACTTTACGAATTAAGATGACCAGCACTCCTAGCCTTCCTATGGGCAAAGTCCAGAAGAAATCTCTCATATTGCATATAACAGCAACAATATTAATGGATAATGCATATTTTTCAGGAGAGGACAGAAAATCTGTGAATCATTAAGAAAGCAATGTTACGTCCAGGCGCGGTGGCTCACGCCTGTAATCCCAGCACTTTGAGAGGCCGAGGCGGGCAGATCACGAGGTCAGGAGATCGGGACCATCCTGGCTGACACGGTGAAACCCCATCTGTACTGAAAACACACAAAAAATTAGCCGGGTGTAGTGGCGCCTGTAGTTCCAGCTACTCGGGAGGCTGACGCAGGAGAATGGCGTGAACCCGGGAGGCGGAGCTTGCAGTGAGCAGAGATCACGCCACTGCACTACAGCCTGGGTGACAGAGCGAGACTCTGTGTCAAAAAAAAAAAAAAAAAAAGAAAAGAAACAAAAAAACAAAAAAAAAACAGCTATGTTAGAAACATTGTGGTTTGGCACCACAATACATTGATTAAGAATAACAGATGTTGTCAAGAAGTTTATTTTTACCCTTATATTTATAAGATTAATTCAATGCCAATTGAAATTACTAGTGGGATTTACTTTTCAATTTAAAAAAAATGATGTCACAGTTTATTTACAACACTGGTTCTTGAACAGGAACTATTTACCCCCAGGAGACACTGAACGACGTCTAGAGACATTTTTAGTTGTCACAACCATGGTTATTCCTAATGGTATCAGGCTGGTAGAGGCCAGAGATCCTACTAAACATTCTCTACTAAATAGTGCCTACAAGAAAGAATTATCTGGTCCAAAATGTTAACAGTTGCCAAGGTTGAGGAATCTTGATTAGAATATGAAGGTCATTAAAATGACAACACATTTTTTAACAAAGAGTAAAAACATGATGCTCAAATCTAAAAATATTATATTGTTCTAATAATTGAGTGGTATTGATGTAAGAATTGACAGAAAATTCATTGAATAGTATTGATAAAACTGAAACTAATACGTTGTAAACTAATGTAATCTGGTCCAATGTTTCTAGTTTGACTGCAAGCACCAGAAACCTTTTAAAAAACAATGCATCTAGGGCATGATCAAACGAAAATAACAAAGATGTAAATAATAACTTGTGAACAGCAATACTAATAGTATTAACATAATAAAAGCAGAGGATGTCCCTAAATAACCATACAAAATTCAAGGGGAGCATAGTCTTAAAAGTTTAAAAATAAATGAAATGCACCTTGCATCTATTTATACCTCCTTATTTTCAGTAATTCCTGATCCTCTCACTTTCTTGTCCTCATGGCAAACAGTAAGTATAATGAAGGACCAGGTGCCATGTCTGCCCAGGCTCTTCCCCAGAGAGTGCTATCTTTACTTAATCACTTACCCTCTGTACATCCTCCCATCTCCCTGTCTACCTCTAATCCATTAATGTTGGACCATTTGCTAACTCTTCATGTATTAAGACCTTCCACAAAAAGCTTTTTATTTTATTTATTTATTTATCTGTATTTGACAGATAATAACTGTGTGTATTTATAAGGTAAAACATTATATTTTGATTCATGTATACATTGTAGAAAGTTTCAACTGTTGGGAAAAGTGGAGTGTTTGGAGAAGCTGAGGCAGGGCTTGCGTGTCGACATAATATAAAAGAGTCTTGGAACATGTCCGGGGTCCAGGGTCTAAAATCCCTTGTGGCCTCTGGAACACCAAGCTCTGCGCTAAACAGTTGGAAGGCTACCCTGACACACCATAATCTAAGCCCAGGGCATAAAATCCCTTGCGGCTTGGATAGAATCCAGGGCTCGTAGTTCTGGAATGTGTCTAGACTTGCTGGCTCCCCGCTCTTTGCTCTCCCAGGATTGACTGTGTCTTGAGTTAAAAGAACCTGCTCTCCATTATCTCAAGTAGCAGAGCAAATGCTAAACCATCACAGCTGTAAATCATGTGCTTAATGCTATGTGCCCTTTTGACCTCCACATTCTCACCACCTGTTTCTCTGTTGGATTACCAATAGATTGGGCTCCCAGAGCTCGCGGACTTTGCAGCTTTCATGATTGTGATGGCCCCCTGGTCCCACCTTTCTCTCTCAAACCGTCTTTTATCAATCTTTTGACTCCACCGAACTTCATCGCCCCCACGACCTGGTGTTGGGTCTGATCACCCCAACATTCAGCCAAGCAAATTAACATATCTATTACCTCATCCTCTTACCATTATTTTTTGTAGTGAGAATGTTAAAAATTTATTTTTCCGGCAATTTTGAAATACGCAATACATTATTAACTGTGGTCACCATGCAGTGCAATAGATTATTGCACTAAAAATTATTCATCCAGTCTAAATGAACATTCGTATCCTCTGATCAATATCTCCCTTGTCCCTATCCCTTCTCCTCCCCCGCACTTCCCAACTTCTGGTAATCACCTTCCTACTCTCTGTTTCAAGGAGATTGACATATTTAGATTCCACATATAAGTAGATTATATAGTGGTTGTCCTTTTGTCTTACTCCACTTAGCATAATGTTCTCCAGTTTCATCTGTGTTATCACAAATGAGAGAATTTCCTTTTTTAAGGCTGTATAATATTTCATTGTTTAAAATGGAATGCCACATTTTTAAAATTTATTTATCTGTTGATGGACACTTAAGTTGCTTCCATACCTTAACTATTGTTAATAATTCTGAAATAAACATGTGAGTACAGGTATCTGTTCCACATACCAATTTCAAGTCTTTTGGATATATACCCTGTAGTGGGATTGCTGAATCATATAGTAATTCTATTTTTAGTTTTTTGGGGAAACTCCAAACTATTTTCCAAAACGGCTGTACTAATTTACATTCCCAATGACAATGTACAAGGGATTCCTTTTCTCCCTTGTTAACACATGTTACCATTATTTTTTTTATTACAGCCATTCTAACAGGAGTGAGATGGTATTTCCATGGTTTTAGTTTGCATTTCTCTGATGACTACAGATGTTGAGCATTTTTCATATTCCTGTTGGCCATTTGTATCTCTTCTCTTCAATATGTATGGGCCAAGCCCAGTGGCTCACACCTGTAATCCCAGCACTTTGGGAGGCCAAGGCGGGTGGATTGCTTGAGCTCAGAGGTTCAAGACTAACCTGAGCAACATGGCAAAACCCCAACTCTACCAAAAAATAAATACAAAAAATTAGCCAGGCATGAATGGTGGCATGCACCTGTGGCCCCAGCTACTCAGGAGACTGAGGTGAGAGGATGGATCACTTGAGCCCAGGAGGCAGAGGTTGCAGTGAACCAAGATCACAGCACTGCACTCCAGCTTGGGCAACAGAGTGAGATCCCATCTAAAAAAAAAAAAAAAAAGAAAGAAAAAAAAGAAAAGAACAAAGAATAAAGAGAAAATGTCTTTTCAGATTTTGCCTATTTTTTAATAGTTTGTAGACATGACTAGAGACACTTTCTTGGCAAAGGCAGTACTAGAATTGGACCTAAAGTGGTTAGAAATTTTAGAGACAGTTTTTTGGGAAAGGGTGTACCATGTAGAAGATTCATGTTTGCCATATAAAATGGGTTTGTTAAATGACCAGTGGTGGAATTTGGGGAGGAAGGAGTTGTACTTGTGATGTATAGTAAAAAAAATTTCAAATGGTTAATTAAAACAAGGTCACTTTGAACGATCTAGCATATGTTGATATTTTCTTTCTTCATTTGAAGCCTTGCTTAGGAATTTGGATGTTGAAACCATTTAAGATGTGAGTAAGCTTGACCTGATAGAACACACCAAATAGTTACTTGTTACACAGAAATTTCATAATGTCAATAGGTGAATCTGTCAGAAAAAGAAATGAAAGAATCTTTAAGTTGCTTTTAGATTGATTTATTGCCACGTTTAAACCAGTTTTACCAGAGAGAATTGTTTTTGCCTCATCAGTGTGACTGAATCAGTGGGCTGGAAAATAAAATTTCTGAGCTCCATTTTTACTATGTGCCAGCAAGGAATTTGAACAAGAAACTTTGTCTAACTCCTTTTATACATACAAAAAATTAAATTGTAAAATGTCTAGCTTTCTGTAGTGATTAATGTTTCACTAACTGACCAAATCTACTGGTTAAAACATAGAGCTGTAATTCATTGAAAACTTCATAAAGATTACATGTCATTTTATAACTGCAGTTTAAGTTTCATTTATTTTGCTTTATTTTAGGCATTATAGAAACATGGCAAATGGAGTACCATTTCAATATGTTTTAGTTTACCAAGGAATGCATCATGCATTTTGTCATTGAAGCCTTGTAGAATACCTGTAAACTCAGCAGCCATCTCTTCTAAATGTCTTTAATAAACTCACTCTGCTACTCTCTGGAAGGTGAAAAGTCTGATCCAAACTCTAAATTCTGATTCTCCTACAAACCTCTTAAGTGAATTGATGACTGTGTTTTCACTTGAATGATATATTAAAATGAGAAGCTTCACCAGAAGGTAATTCCCTTAATTTCCCGTGATCTACCTGAATTCCACACATCCTCTGCCCCATTCTCCTCTGAATCCCATCTGCCCCTGACTTCTCCTCTTAGCCTTCATCATTAATGTATTTGTCCATGAATGGCTGTTTCTCACTACTATTCATACATATTCTTTCACATTAAAACATATTTAAAAATACACTTTTCTCCAACCTACCACCCCATGACACTCAAACTTGCCTAAAACATTGTCCTGACTCACACCTTTGTTTTACCCCACTCATTTCTGGAGGTCAAACTACAAAGTGATGAACAAAACCAAGCACAGTGGCGGTACAGGTCCAAGCACTAAGATCTCAGTATGTGGACACACACTGAATGCTGGAAGACTACCATGTTGTTTTTCACATCTTCAATCACAGAACGCAGAGTGAGCTACCTGAACAGGCTTCAGAATTTTAACCTCATCTCTCCTCCCTTTATGCCATGAGATAATACCCCTTATTGCAAATCATCACCCTTCAGGAATACAGAAATGTACATATAAGTATTTAAAGAAATGATAGAAGAAGAAAATGGATAAGTGGGTAAGTAGAAAGACAGGCTCTGAATCCACAGTTCTTGCACATTATTTCTCCAATGACACCTTCACTCCCATTTTTTAAAAAACTGCTCAGAATAACAGTAATATCTTACTGTAAAAAGCAGCTGTATAAATAAATTACAATAATTATATTCCATAACTGTAATCTTATTATTACAGAAAGTATTGTAAATAAACTATACATACAGCCATAATATTACAGAGCAAACACTGTGTTATTGAAATGTTAGATATAATGCGCTTCTCAATACAAACTAAAATGTATTTCAATACTGTAGCACTTATTAAGAATTATGGAAGCTCAGTAGATGAAATACTGTTTTAATATACCATTTAAAATGTTAATAGTATTTCATTTTAAACCATGGAATCATTACTTATGAGCATAATAATCAGAATTATCTCCAGAAATGTATTTTAGACAAGTTTTAATGATGTGTTTTAAAAAATTTACTGAATATAGAACAACTTTGTTCTCAGCACTTTCAATAATTTACTAGTGATGTAATTTTTCAAGTTTGTTTACTCATAATAAATTCAAGTACATACGCAAGAAATGCATTTATACGAAAATCACATGATACAAGAAAAAGAAGAACGTGACAAATGTTTGAAATTGTGATTCTAACCTAATACAAAACATCACAAACCCTTTGCACTTTACAAAAACACAGATCATAGTTTTATGAGCTATGCAACCATAAAAATGTCAGTAATATTAGAAAGTTTTTTCCCGTGTACTGCATATGTTTTAATAGTTAATTTTTTTACACAATCTATATCTCTGAGTTTTTATTTGTGGACACATAGCTTCCAAACAATGGGGATTGCATTCCATCAAATTAGAACATTTAGTTTATTTTCAATATGTTTGATGAATCTACATGTGTGGAAATATTTTTATCAATTTAATTGAGGTATAATTTATGTCCAGCAAATTGAGTTCTCTTAATTGGCAATTCAGTTAATTTTAACACTTGATGCACTGGGGAAGGCACTGCTATAATCAAGCTACAGAACATTTTCTTTGCCCGCAAAGCCTCCTCCCACTTCTTTGCAGGACCTCTGTGCCTCCATCACCCTGATCCAATATAGTAAGTTTTGTATCTGGTTCAGTGATTTTGAGACAGACGAATGTTGTTTTCTGATTCAGTATTACATTTCATCTTATTGATTAGTATTATTCTATTGTTAAAATCTACAAAATATTTTTATCCATTCTTTTGATGGACATTTGGGCTGCTACCAAATTTTGGCTATTACAAATAAAGCTTCCATGAATATTCTTGTAGAAATCCATCTTTAGACATAAACTTTCATTTAATGCATTTATATTAATAGAAGTGCAGTTCTTACCTCAAAAAGTATGTGTATAATTGACTGTGTAAGAAATTGCTAAAGCACTTCCAGAGTTTTAGTAATCTTTTATACAATCACCAGCAATCATTGAGAGTTCTATTTGTAACTTTTCACACATTTACTGTTGTCAATGTTTCTAATTTTAGTCCTAGTGGGTGTTAAATGACATGTAACTATGACTTTAATTTACATTTTCTGATAACTCACATGCTTTTTTTTTTGGCCATTTGTGTATCTTCCTTTGTGAAAATGCTAACTCAAAGTCTAAAATAATCGCTCATTTTATATTGACTTGTATGATAGTTTGGGCCTTCCAAAAAGCAAATGCTAAAATGAGATTAGACATGCAAGAGATTTATTGGGGAAACAACTGTGAAAAAAAAATAGAGCCAAAGAAAGCAGGGCGATCTTTAGACCACAATGCTGGTCTGACACCTTTGAAGAAAAGGAAAGGGGAAGGAAAGTGAACTGGGTAGGAAGAATGTCAGACCACTGCAGCGCCATATGGAAAAGACTCAGAAGAGTTGATGGGGAATCCTGAAACCAAAGTAATCCACTAAGGAGTCCCCCATCTCATGGGAACAGGCCTGCATTAGCACAGCTGGTGTGCTCCATCACGGGTAGACACAGCAGTGACCAGCATTGCCTCAGGGAAAATGTGAGACAGCAACAGGGGCCTGCAGTCAGTTGCACCTTCTCAGCAAGAGATTACAGCCCCCACTTCCCACTCCACCCCACAAACCTTCTTTCTGCAGGTTCTAGCAATACTCCTGTGTGGTGCAAGTGCCTCTCCCTCCCTCTCTGAGGGAAAATGTAGAAGAGGAAAGTTGGTGGAACTAACTGCTGACCTGTTTGAAAATTTATGCTCAGGGCCACACTGCTACTCCTTCTATTTCTCCTCCATTATCCATTTTAAAGTCTTATCCTCGCTCTCACCTTGGCAGGTCTTACTGGCTTATCTGGTGTGACCCAAACCATTTTCTCTGCAGTATCTGAGCCCTGGAAATCACACTCTTATCAGGCCAGTATTGCTATATGTATTTAGTACCCAGAGCCACCTAGTACATCACCTGGGTTCAGCACATCTACAGACCCCTGCGCTCACTGATTGGAAGCAGTGTTACGTCTTCTTGTCTACCAGAGTCAATTGCCTCTGATTTATGGTGACTCCTCTTCTCACCTGCTGGTTTCTCTGATTTATAGTGACTCCTCTTCTCATCTGCTGGTTCCTGGTCACAAAAAGTCCAAAGAGCCCTGGCAGTTGCCATAACTTGTGGCCCAGTGGAATTCTTTATTTGACTCTGGCAAGAGTGTGCCACACTGGGAACCACGACCTTCAGTTCAATGGAAATCGGAGTTGTGGGAATGCATAACACAAACCATCTCAGTCTTAGAGACTGATTGTATATCACTTTTCATTCCTTGGTGTCCTTTTTTATTGAGGACAATGAACCATATAAATCTTTAATTTAAAGCATGTAATGCACCCGGAAGGATAACACCCATTCTTTCAGAGTGTTGTCTCTAAACTGGCATTTTAACTGTGCTTTTAGAAGGCTGTGTCAGAGCTCTGTGGGGCCAGCTGCTTCAGGATAATGCATTATGTATTACAACCATTGCATTTCATGATCATGGACTACTTGAAGTCTTAGGCCGTGCAGTAAAGAAGAGAAAGCAATAATAGGCATAAAAATTAAAAAGAAAGATGTAAAAGTGTCTGTATAGAATGAATATGCTATCTTCTTAGTAGAATACGTTAAATAATCTGTTAAAGAAACCAATTGAAACTATTAAGTTAGTTTAGCAGAGCAACAGGGCATAACAGCAATATACAAAAATCGATTGTAATTCTATATAGTGATAATAAACAAATGGCAATTTAAATTAAAATTACAACATAATCACATGAAAAAACATGAAATACTTAAAATATGCAACAAAATATGTGCAATGATATCAGCCAGCACAGTATTGACATAAGGCTATACATATAGAACAACGGAACAGGATGGAAGCAGTGATATGCAAAAAATTAACTTGAAAGGGATCATAGGCCTGTTCAGAAAACCTAAAACTATAAATCTTCCATAAGAAAACACAGGAGAAGAGAATTGTCCTCAGCTTAGGCAAAGATTTATTAGGCAAAAAAAGCATTAAGTTAAAAAGTTAAAAAGCATTAATCATAAAAGAAAAAAATTATAAATTACACTCATTCAAAATTTAAAGCTCCTGCTTTTGAAAGATTCTAAACATGAAAAAGCAAAAGATATATCAGAGAAAATATATGTAATTATCTGTTAAAAAGCTCTAATCCAGAATAAAGACTTCTTTCTAACTCATTAACATGACAAATAATTTAAGAAAGAACTGGAGACAGAAAAAAGCAGAGATAACCAAGAAAGATATATAAATGGCAAAAAAAAAAAAAAAATCACACAAAACCCTGATCAACGTCATTAGTTGAAATACAAGTTGAAACCTCAGTGAGATACCACTACACATGCTACAGAATGATTAAAATTAAAAAGACTGGTCAAGGCAAACATTGATAAGGATGACTTCTGGTGGGAATGCAAAATGGCACAGTCACTTTGGAAACTATTTTGTTAATTCCTTGGATAGTTAAACATATACTTGTCAAATGATTTACCAATACCACTTTTAGACATTTACCCAAGAAAAATGAACACACATATGCTCCCTAATGCATGTGAATGTTCACAGAACTAGAAAGTCATGTGGGCATACCACAACTGGTCTATCACACATGAATAAGCAAAAAAAAATGACACATCCATACAATGTAATACTGCTTAGCAATGAAAAGGAAGGGAATATTGATACGCACAATATCAATAACTTTTTGTGAAAGAAGCCTGACACAAGAGACATTGCATTGTATAATTCCACTTATATAAAATTCTAGAAAAAGTAAAACTATAGTGAAGAAAGTTCATCAATTATTGCAAGAGATGGGAGTAGGACATTGACTAATGGGATGTGCAGAAACTGAGGGGTGATGGTAATTTCCCACATCTTTGATTCTGAGGATATTTAACTGACGATATATATGTCACAAATCATCTAAACATATACATAAAATCGGTGAATATTTCTATGTATGTCAAACCACATGAATGGTGATTTAAAACAAAAGCACATTATCAACATTGTCATAATGAACCTCCAGAGGGCTTCAGTTTAGTTAGAACTAATGAAAGCATACAAAATACCTTCCAAAATTACTGCCTAAGGACAGGTGACCAGAGCACTTGTCCAGCAGCTTTCAGCCCTTGTGTGGTTTGTTACTTAATCTTGTCCATCATAGCTACATAGGTTCTTGGGACAAGGCCCTGGAGCAGAAAGAAGAAAGACATCTGCTGTCCAGGGAGGCTAGATTCTTGTCTTCATGCTTGTCCTAATTAAAAAATATTATTTTCTTTCTTCCTGTTCAGAAAGTTGGCCCTTACCTAGATGAAGTCAGAGTCTTGGTTTATAGCCAAAATAAAAGAGGCTTAAAAATCAGGAGTTTTGCCACAATGAGATATCATCTCACACCAGTTAGAATGGCGATTAGTAAAGTCAGGAAACAATAGATGCTGACGAGGCTGTGAAGAAATAGGAACGCTTTTACCCTGTTGATGGGAATGTAAATTAGCTCAACCACTGTGGAAGACCGTATGGCAATTCCTCAAGGATCTAGAACCAGAAGTACCACTTTACCCAGCAATCCCATTACTGGGCATATACCCAAAGGAATATAAATCATTCTACTATAAAGACACATGCACACATATGTTTATTGCAGCAATATTTACAATAGCAAAGACATGGAACCAACCCAAATGCCCATCAATGATAGACTGGATAAAGAAAATATGGTACATATACACCATTCAATACTATGCAACCATAAAAGGGAATGAGATAATGTCCTCTGCTGGGATATGCACGAAACAGGAAACCATCATCCTCACAAACTAAGGGAGGAACAGAAAACTAAATACCTCATGTTCTCACTCATAAGTGGGAGCTTAACAATGAGAAAACATGGACACAGAGAGAGGAACAACACACACCAGGGTCTGTTGAGGGGTATGGGGCGAGGGGAGGGAACTCAGAGGATGAGTCAATAGGTGCAGCAAACCACCATGGCACACATATACCTATGTAACTAACCTGCATGTTCCTCACATGTATCCCGTTTTCTGTTGTTCTTGTTACTTTTTTTTTTAGAAGAAATAAAAAAAAGAATCAGAAATCTTGGTTGTAACATCAAATTTGCCACTAACTGGCTATATGTGTTGCAAGAAGTCAGTTTAATTTCTGTGTCAAATTTTTCTCATTTGTAAATACAGGGGTTGAGTAGTTGTTTTCAACATTTTTTAAAAAACTAATATTGGTGTGTTGCTCATCCAACCGAATTTACTCAACAATAATTTATTTGACCAACACTATTGGCGTGTGTGTGTGTGTGTGTGTGTTTGTGTGTGTATATATATACACACACATATATATATACACATACATACATATATATTCACATATATACACACATCTGCAAATATATGCTAATGAGAACTACAGATACGTGACAATTTTCATATTTCAGTGATAGAACTACAGAAAAAAGCAAATAAACTAATCATTTAGTCTATACAGTTTTATCATGGCTAAATATTCATTTTCCATTAGCGATTTTGAAATATTTAAAAACCAGCTACTGAGCTCTTTCCATTAGTAATTATTGCCTTTCAGTAACATCTTTCCACTTATAGAAACAAATATATATGTAATTCCTAAAGACCCTTCCTCACATTTCTGATTATCTGCTTCTATGTCTCTTGATTGCTCTCCAAAGATAGATAAAAACAAAGTAAACTATGGCTCTTATAAAATGTACCATTTGTAATACAACAGTATTAGTAAATTCATGTAAAGAGGAAAACCATGAACCAATTCAATTGCACTTAATACAA
Source organism: Homo sapiens (assembly GCF_000001405.40). Classification (NCBI taxonomy): domain Eukaryota; kingdom Metazoa; phylum Chordata; class Mammalia; order Primates; family Hominidae; genus Homo; species Homo sapiens. The sequence continues at coordinate 16,509,149 of NC_000008.11, forward strand.
AATATCAACTATATTTCCAGTTTAGACACCCTCTGAAGAATAGATGAGAACTGTTTTGACTTGGATCGTTTGCTGTTACCTATAGGCTTTTGAGCATAGCATTATTTTCCCTCCACTGTGACAAATTTCACAAGAGAAATGGAATGTGGATGGGATATTGTGTCATCTTCCATGCGTTTGTTAAGTATAGATTTCCCATATTCTGCAACACCTTTGTGTTTTCAATTTCTTTATTTTCATAAATAAAAAAATGCTGCAGCTTATAATAATAAATACAGACAACTAAAAACTTGAGAACAAATCAGGATTATGCAGTAAGCTACAAAACCATTAACTGGGATTTTGGAGTGTGTGAATGATTTTTTAAAAAACTAAAACGTAAAGCCAGATTGTAGTAGGTAACTTCCATTACGACCCTCAGTGATCCCCACCCACTTCCTAGTATTCCCCTCTTTGTCACACCTCCTCCCTTTGAGTGTGGGCTAGACCTAGTGACTTGCGTCTAAGGAGCAGGATTCAGCGTAAATGATTGGATGGCACTTCTGAGGTTAGACTTTTGCTTCTCTCTTAGATGATCTCTCTTCTTCTCTTAATTGCTTGCTTGGAGGGAAGCCAGTTACCATATTTTCACCTGCCCTACGGAGGGAAGCCAGTTACCATATTTTCACCTGCCCTATGGAAAGGCCACACAGCAGGAAATGAACTCAGAGAGATCTCCAGCTAATAACCAGCAAAATCCTGGTGTTTGACAGTAAGCATGTGAGTGAGCCTGGAAATTGGTCCTCTGAGGCCTGACAATGACCAGGTGAATAACCTTCAAAGCAGATCCTTCTTCTCCCAGGTGAGCCTTGAAAGGACTGTGGCCCTGGCCACCACCTTGATTTCGGCCTTGTGAGAGACACTGAACCACAAACACACAACTAAGCCACACACAGATCCCTGACCCAAAGAAATCATGAAACAATAACTGTTTATTATTTTAAGTTGCTAAGTTCAGGGATTATTTGTTCCACAGAAATAGGCAATGAATACACCTTGCTTCTCACAGCAAAAAAAAATCACTCACACAAGATACATAGTTCCTGATGATAGCATCAGATACTGAAGTCTATTTCTGTATTAAAGAGACTGAAGCTTCAGCATTTTTATTCAGCCATTTGGGGCCAAGCAAAGAGAAAATGGCATTTAAGGCAGATTACTTTTTCTGTAAGTCTTAGCTCATTTGCTTTAACTGAGAGTTTGGCCAATCTCAACCATTTTAGACCAATCTTAATTATTATAGTATTCTGTCAATAATACTTCGGTTCACTTATTGTAAATCTGAAGAAAGAAGCTATTTTTTGAAGATTCGTGTAGTTTCTCATAATTAGATAAATTAAACAGTCACCTGGAAAATAACTTGAGAATTTCTGCCTTTTAGCTTTCTTTTCCTAATAGATAAGGATAAATAATAATATTCCTTGCAATATTTTGGTGATCAGATATTCTATTTTATATAGAATGATTTAGACAAGTACTGGAAGTACATTGCAAGCTTCTGACCTTTTACAAGTACTCCCTGATCACCTAACTAGTGTGTATCTCTTGCAAAGTGTTTGTGTTGATTTGAGAATTAGCAAAGCTTAAATGACCTGCCCAGCTCTTACCATCACACTTTTCTGATTTTTAGCAGCTATGCTTTCTAACAATCAATGTTCACACTCATTCCCATTTGCGGCTCTATCATCATACCTGACCCTAGGAAAGCTAGTGGCAGGACACACACACACATACACACACATAAAGGAACATACAATCTTGTGCATTGCCTACAATCTCTACATTGAATCATTCTCCTATCTTGTCCCTTCTGACCTTGGGCACTAATTTCTAATTCTTCATTTCCTACTTTGTGTCCACATTACTTCTCCAAACTCTTCTCAATTATCAAGAGGTAGCATAAACATCACATGTTTTATTTGGCCTTTTAAAAATCTCCCACCCTCACACATAAAAAGAATTACTAAATTCTCAGTACCCAGACATGTTTTTAAACTTTATTGTAGTATTTATAACATCTTGTCTTATTTTATAGATATTTACACATCTGTGTGCGTGTATATGTGTGTGTGTATGTGCGCGTGCACATGCGTCCTGCATTAACCTATGAACCCCTTGAGGACAGGAACAATTTCTGAATCACTTTGTTTGTATTTGTATAGGTCAATTGTGGAGAGTTCCTTCCGATCACTCTTTTCTGTTCTATTTCTCCCTTTACTATGACATTGCATATCCTTCCATTTACGTTTGTTCTTTTTGATTTTTTTCTAAACAACTTTGTGATTTTGTGTAAGAATTGTATAAAATGGCCTTCTTTTAGAAAAATACATCAGCTTGTATTTTCAGTGCTCATAATTTGGGATCCATCTGATCCACAATTTTTTTGTGCCATCTGTGATTCTTCAGCAACCAAAGTGCCTGCGTGTGTGGGTTAACCACAGATAATTCTTTGTCTTTTCCTATCAACTGCCACAAACTGCCTAATTACTGGGCCTGATCCTGTTACTATTGTCACAAGGCTGTCTTCAGCAATGTTGTCTTTATCTGCTTAGTAACTCCCTATGACCAGCTGAATGTCCTTTCTGCTATGCACTGATTACGATTTCTGGCTTCCCATGGGCACTGAACCAGCACAAATTCTAAAAATTACCTTACAGACCTGTGTAGACTGTGTATGTCTCCTCATACTCTTCTGGGGTTATCTTTCAGAGCATCAATATGTTCTGCAAAAATAAGGGGTTAAGTAAATATATACATTTTTATTAAGAATAATCAATGTGACACAAAAACATGTCTTAGCCATTCTTAAAATTGGCACATTATACATGCCAAGTGCCTTCCAATTCAGCAATGGGGTTATGAAAATTAAATCATGAATCTTATATTTTACATCAATTTCTTTCTCAGTAGGGAATATTGCAATTGACATTAAAGCAAAATAGGAAAGAGTACACGGGGCATGGGAAGCACAAAGGAACAATTTATTAACAAGCACGTTACATTTTGCTGTTCTCTAATGTAAAATTGAAACATCATTTACAAAAAGAAATATGATGTGAGGGATTTTACATGCTAGAATAAAGTAGTAGGGAACAAAGATTATGAAATCATATACACACACATACATGTATATACATATATGTATATGTGTATAGCTATATAGATGATAAATAGGCAGATAGATACAAAATAATAAATAGATATTAAAGTAGGAGACAGACACATCTGTCCCTGGCCTCCAGAGAGGATTGAAAATGAATAGATTAAGTTTCATAAATCTGAAGTCAAGGAAACGTGCCTGATGATTTGTTCTTGAACAATGTTCCTGCAGAAGAAACTTCTCCATCTAACATGTTCATCCCTCTAGGGCAGGAGGCAACTGCATGAAATGGCATGGATGGAGGGCAGAGATGGCAGACGGAGTGTGGTGAGAGAAAACTCAGACTCCAAGCTCCAATTCCTGACAGCCAGAAGCATCTAATGAAGGCTCTGTTTGCCTTGTTTGGGACCTTCTCGTCCATTACGTTTCTATTATAAGATGACATAAGCTTAGTTTTTGTTTTGTTTTGTTTTTGTTTTTGTTTTTTGAGACAGAGTCTTGCTATGTCACCCAGGCTGGAGTGCCGTGGCGCGATCTCGGCTCACTGCAACCTCCACCTCCCAGGTTCAAGCAATTCTCCTGCCTTAGCCTCCTGAGTAGCTGGGATTACAGGAGCCCCCACCACGCCCAGCTAATTTTTTTGTATTTTTAGTAGAGACGGGGTTTCATCATTTTAGTCAGGCTGGTCTCGAACCCCTGACCTGGCGATCCACCCGCCTCGGCCTCCCAAAGTGCTAGGATTATAGGCGTGAGCCACCATGCCTGGCCGACATAAGCTTAGTTTCTGAATAAGAGCAAGGTCTGGCCTGGGGATGCTCAACAGTAACACTCTGTAAAACTCTCTGGCAATGGCCATGCAATGATGAAAACAACTCATTGTATCCCTTTGCTGAAATCAAAGAAACCCCAGAATTCCCTTCAATATTTGAATGGCTCAAGCCATGCCAGTAGAACAACGGGGATTCTACTCCACAAAGCAATCTTGTAGTAGTATTAATAGTGAACATTATGAGTGCTCCTTTTTAGTATTATAGCCACGTCTCTATTACAATACAACACTTTATTGAAATTATTTGTGTATCTCAGGTAAGAGACTGAAAATTCTCAGGTATAGACCACTTCTAACTTATTTTCCTATTGTTGAAACCTAGTCTCTTCCATACATACAGTAGGGACTCAGTATTTCTGTTAAATGAATGAATAAAGGCTAGCTATGGAAGACAGGCATACCTCTCCCTGTAGATAAATATATACTCATATGTTTGCAGACCTTGCCCATATTGATGTTTCTACAATTGATAAGATTTTTATATTTGTAGTGTGTCTTTTTCTCTCAAAAAGTTGTTTTTAGATGGGTGGTAGCTTAGAGCCAGTATAATTAATATAGATATAAATAAATGAGGGAAAGAGATCATATGACTAATGAATATATCTATTTTTAGATTTTGTAAATATGAAAGTATTTACACAAATTTTTGTACATTTGTTTACTGGAAAATGACAGCACATTCTATACCATCAAATCCCACAAAATGCAGAATTAGAAAGATTTACAATTCATCTACTGCTAAAGTTAGATATAGTATGAACCTGATCAATTTGAAGAAATTGTTTCAGGCCAAAAAAAGTACCAATAGATGACTAAATAAAGAAAAATTATAGGCACAAAGAGTCTCAAATTTATAGACATACATAAATACTTTTAAAGTTTCAGGAACAATATTGTAAATGATCTAAGAATTTTCCACTGAGTCCTTTATTCAATGTTTAAGATATATTGTGTATAAATTATTCAAATATGTACTTTTATAATTTGTTATATATTTTACCTTATGGCATTTCCTTATTAGTGTGAACAAATAAATAGTATTTTCTGCTTCCCTTCCTACTAAATTTCTTTGTTCAATAAATACTTTCTTATTCCAACAATTTGTTCCTAGAATATTTATTATTAATGTGTTTCATTATAATGCCATAAAGCTGATATAAAACTTTTAATTTTTCATATACACATATAAGTCTAACAATATTTATAAAAATATGTATGTATATGCACCAGAATTATACATTATGCAACTCATGTATAAATTATTCCTAAACAATAAACATGGAGAGCGTATTAGAAGAAAAACTTAAAATTTATGAAAGTCTCTAAAGGACAAAGTAAAATGCAAATTAAATGCAGAGTTAATGTATTTTGAAAGTAATAAAAAGTATAGCAAGACAGAATATTAAGAAAAATTTTCCATTTAGTTTTTACTGTGTCAACAAAAAACAAATTTTTCATGCTTAATTACTTTTCAGGCATTCTAATTCACTGGATTTTTTTAAATTATGGGAAATAAATAGTATTAATTACAGAGTAATAACATGTTTTTACAGTCTTTTTATGCACAGTGTGTTTCAAAATCCTAATTCCTTTTCTCTTGTAGAATTTAACTATATTCCTACCTAGAGACACTGTTGTCTACACACGACAATGCGATGAACTCCCGGATTCTTACTGATTAATAGCTTTTTATTTTGTTCCAGAAATAACAACAAAAGTAACCTGGAAAAAAAAATAAAGAGAAATGTTTTCCTCCTCCAATCTGGATAGCTCATTCTTTCTTATCCCCCTCTGGAAATTTTACTCTTCTCTATTTTTGCCAAAAATTCAGCTGACATTCAGCTTGATTTTTTTTATTTTAGGGAGCCCTTCTTCTACATGTATACATCATGTAATTGGACTTTCATTTAGCATTTTCCTTTCTTCTTTGTAATATGATTTCTATATCTTTTTATTCTTGGACTGCAAAGTCCAAAATGTCAGGCTGAACTCTTTTCCCTGTCCTTCCACATTTACTACACTGTGCTCCAAAGAGTTCATGCAATACAGATCTGCTGCATTCTTATTGCTATTTTATTTTTCCATCAGCATTGATGTGGAAAACATAAATTGTGCAAATGATTTTAAGTACCATGAAAGAAAATTAAAGCAAAGCTCTTGCTTGAGAAGTTTACATTTTTCTTGGGTGACAAAGATACAAGAAAGAGTAGACAATATCGGTGCAATGTTCATTTAAAATAAAAACAGTATTATGATGTTAATTACAGGTTAATTGAATTGACCAGCATATCAAACTCTATACATGCTATGGTTAAATCTATAAAATACACATATGCATTTTAAATGTTTGTGATATAAAATTGAAGACATGAGGCCGGGCGCGGTGGCTCACGCCTGTAATCCCAGCACTTTGGGAGGCCGAGGCAGGCGGATCACGAGGTCAGGAGATCGAGACCATCCTGGCTAACATGGTGAAACCCTGTCTGTACTAAAAATACAAAAATTAGCCAGGCGTGGTGGCGGGCACCTGTAGTCCCAGGTACTCGGGAGGCTGAGGCAGAAGAATGGCGTGAACCCAGGAGGTGGAGTTTGCAGCGAGCCAAGATCGCTCCACTGCACTCCGGCCTGGGTGAAAGAGTGAGACTCCGTCTCAAAAAAAAAAAAAAAAAAAAAAAAAATTGAAGACATGAGGCACTATATTAGCTGTTGACTTTTTCTTTACTGTTAAAATGCATGTATATTTTAAAGTGTATTTACAGTTCATTAAATCAGTGTGCAGCGGGTTCAAAGAATCCAGGGAAGCCAGTCTCCATAGAGCATTATCTTTGGACTTAACAATTTGGAAATCCAAGATTCACTTGCAAAAACTATAAAAACTACATTATTTTTCCCTGACATTTCTGGGTCCTCACAGGTTACAGTGCCAGGACATTTTTTTTCCTGATTGCAAAACCCTCTCTAATCCAGCCAAATTCTTGAAAAACCCAGCCAGCATACGATGAATGGAAAACAATTGTGATATATTCCCTATCAATGAGATCCTAACTTTGACTTTCCCTGCTAGGGTAGATCCTCTAAATACCAATTATCTTGCTCTTGAGATAAAATACTTGATATGTGACCAAGGCTTTGTATGAACATCTTGTTATTGCACAATTGTGTTTCAAATATAATAATCTCAAATTCAAAATCTGATCTCTTGCAGTGAAACAATTAAGCCCCTTCTATCAACTAATATACCAAGATAACAACAAAACATAAATCTCAAAAATCATGTCTTTTTGTGGGCATACAGTTATATATTAGAAACATTTGAAAGAAAACAAGGAAGAGACTAGAAAAAGTACATTTGGGCCATTGAACACAACTAAAATAAGTAAGAATTTTATAAAAGTTCCACCAAGTAGAACAAATGAGATTAATGCCATATGTAGATATCAAAATTAACTAAAGTTGAAAGCTCTAAGTCTTAATCAACAGTATAGATTTCTTCATTTAGAAAAGAAGTATAGCATAGTGGATCAAAACACACTTAGTAATAATAATTTTAAAAAAACCTTTGGCTGCTTATATAGTAAAAAATTAAAGCTGTGTTTCAGCATTCCGGTATCTCTAATTGGTGTGGTGTTTTATTTTTCCAAAGTTGTTATCACAAAACACTGATGTACCAAGATGTCTTCACAGCAGTGGTAGATACACTGCTATTTATTTCACCACCAGGGTAAAGTTCAAATAACTTAGTGAAATTGATTTAGGGCTCTGTCTGGGTCAAGTAACCTCTGTGACTGGTAAATTTACAGGTAAAAGGGGAACCATAAAACATAAATTTCATGTGGCTACAGTGTCAATAAAGTTGTCACGTAGCCGAGTGGGTGATATTCTTTTTAAAAACAGTACAGAGAGTGTTTCAAACCATCTATCCACATCCAAGAAAATGTTTCAGTGACTTTCCTCACCTATCAAATGGGAATTGGAAAGCTTATCATATAGATGTGCCGAGAGGAATAATAAGCCATCAGAATCTGTAAGATTACTTCATGTCTGTTATTCAAAATAGGTAACTGGGAAAAAATATGGACTCTTCTTGAAAGCATGTTAATCTTGGTAACAAGTTCACAAGGTTGGCTTTATGCAAAGTCAAACTGAGACCTTTCCATTCAAGACGTTATATTCTATTCACAACAGAATATTTGGTTATACAGGGGCTCTAAACTAAGTTCTAACTCTGAGGATGACCTCTGTTTTCTTGAAAAGTTTTGCATGCCTGTCTGATGGCAAACACTGTAACCTTCTCATTTTCCCATCCGGGATCTCACTGTTAATCTCTCTATTTCTCTGCCATGGCAGGTTTTTGATCAATTAAAGCATTAAGCATTCAGTAATTATTTCAATCCACAAGTATTTACTGATTGTCACTTGCCAGCACCAGTGGCAAACAAAGCCAACTCATGAAGCTTACAGTCAAATATGGAGACGGGTTTAAACAAAAATCACCAAAAAAAGTGACTAGTGCAATAAAATAGCAGTAAAGGGCGTCATATGTTAAGAGCTCTACACTGCTGCCCTCAACTTTGGAGCATTCCCTTCGCATTGAAATAGCTTTATTTGACTATACAACATGAGCATAGTTTAGCGGTTATCAACAGAGATATTACTTTCCCCGAGGTGCATTCAGAAATGTGGGGACCAGCTTTCAGTTGTCGTAATGATTAGGATACAATTATTTTGTCATTCGGTGGGAAAATCCAGTAATAAAATTTACTGTAATGTGCAGAATTAACAAAGATGTGAAACAAAGGAAAATTTTATCCTTGCTAGTGGAAATATGGATTAGTTAATCCACTTTGGAAAACTACTTGCCAGTATTTACTAATCTGAAAATGTTGCTGGTGGGCCGGTTCAGGTTCTTGACTTCATTCACCACACAAAGAATTTGATAACAAGTCCAAAGCAAGAGTAGGCAAAGAAGTTTACTGCAAAGCAAAAGTACACTCTGAGAGGCAGAGTGGGCTGCTCAAAGGGAGAGATAACAGCTAGTATCCTAAGAGGAATTCCTTTCATGGGAGTTGTACACAAACATTCATAAAATACGGGTGAGGTCAAGTATGCAAAGGCAGACCTGTGGTTGGTGAATGCGCTCAGCATCTACATGCTCTCACATGCATTGCACGTATCATTAGCAGATAAAAATCTCCACGTAGGAGTGTGTTTTTTACCAATAAAATGAGGGAAAGGTCACTATAAGCTAAACCTTGAGCCTAGCTGCACATGTGGGATCCCGGAGACAACCCTACCCCCCAAGGCAGGAATTTGTAGCTAATAGTTTCCTGGGCTTTTAGTGCTGACTGGCTGGAGAATGTGGGAGCTACATCAGGAGTAAGAGACTTTTATTCTCTTTCCCAGGACATACCAGGTATCAGGAACTTGTAACCATTTGGTAATCTGCTCGTATACTGTAGGACTGGTTATCTTGCAAAAGAGTTACTTGCTGATGCAGGAAGGTGCAAGAGATGCAAAGCTTCCTGCAAAAGGGGTCCGTGGGGCATTACACAAGGGGACAAGTCAGCATGGCTCTGTAATCTTACTTAACCTGCCCCAAAAATACACGTAGCCAGTGAACCATCATTTTTCCTCCTATGTACATGCCTGACTAAAATGCATTAATTTGAAACCTCCACATACACAGGGTGAAACTCCAAGAAACCCAGTGGAAAATAGCATCTCGGAGGCCGAGCAGGGATTGCAGCAGCCACATGATCTGAAAAGAAAGAGATTAGTCCAAGCCTTGTAAAGATGACGATATCTTTATGAATACAATGAGCTTTTACGTGAATCTCAAGAAGGACCATGACCCTGGAGATAGGGTCATCATCTATGATTATGACCCATGCCTTAAAAGTAAGAGGAAATTTATAGGAACAACTCTAACAAAGTCTAAAATCATACTTTGACAGCGGCAAGGTGACACACTGCTACTTTATCTCCTTGTTACAAAAAATTTTTCACATTCTCAAGTAAAAATCTAATGCCGTGCAGAGATGCTACAGTTTCTTATTCTCAATGTCTGAAATCCAATAAAAATGTATGAGGCATGCTAGGATCCAAAATAACTAAAAACCAAGAGGAAAAAGCACATATTTTTGAAAGACCCACAGGTTTTCAAATATTGGAATTAATAGATAGAAAATTTTAAAATAAATATGTTTAATATATTCAATATAGAGAAGAAAGGGTATGTAATGGACTGAATGGTCCTGTCATGCTCAAAATTTATAGGTTGAAATCCAAACCACCAAGGTGATGATGGTAGGAGACGGGGCCTTTGGGACACCTCCCAAAGATTAAGGTCATGAGGGTGAAGCCTACATGAACGGGATTAGTACCCTTATAAAAGAGACTCCAGAGAGTGTATGGGCCTCTTCCATTATGTGAGGACCCAGCAAGAAGGCAATGTCTGTGAGCCAGAAAGCAAACCCTCAACAAACACAAAATCTCCCTTGATCTTGGGCTTCCCAGCTCCTAGAACTGTGAGAAATAAGTTTTATTGTTTATAAGCTACTCAGTTTATGGTATTTTTTATAGTAGACCGAACAGACTTATGGTACAACATAATGAAGACATCAAGAATGTCAATGGAAAATTGGAATCTACATAAAAGCAATCTAATGAGTATTATATAAGCAAAAACTAAAATATCTGCAATAAATACACAATGGATGGGTTAAAAACAGTTTGAACACAGTTGAAGATAAGAGTAGTAAACTAAGAAAGTTCACTAGCAAATAATCCAACTGAGGTACAGAGATAAAGAATAAAGGTACAGAAAAAAAGAAAAAATAACATAATGAGAGAAACATATGGAAAGCTGTCAAAAGTTTTGTCAAAAATGTAATTGGATCTCAGAAAGAAAAAAGTAAATAGGCAAGAACAATATTAAAGACACAAAAACAATCTTAAAAGTAGCCAGAGAAAATAGAAATGTTTTCTTCAAAGGAAAAGCAGTAAAACTTATGGCTCATTTTTCATCTGAAAAAGTAGAAAAAAAAGAGAATAATATTTTAAAGTGATAAAAGACAAATAATCTTCTATATTTGAATCAACTACCCAGAGAAAATATCTTTCAAAACAAGAAAAGGTATGTTAATGTATTGCTAACAGATCCACTACAATAATACTACTAATAATAATACTAAAGGACTTGTTTCAGACTGAAGATAAATGATCCCAGATAGAAGTATGAACACGCAGGAAGGAAGAAAGTGTGAACACACAGGAAGGAAGAAAAGAGCACTAAAAAAATTTTTTTAAATGAGTAAATATAAACAATTTTTAACAAGATAAAACAAACACAATAATAATGTCTCATGGGCTTTACAACATGCAGATGAGAAAGAAATGACAAGGACAGTGATAGTGCACAGGGTGAAAAGGAATAAACAATTGACTTAAACTATTGTAAGATATTCACATGTTTCAGTGAGTAGTAAATGTACCAATTTAATTAGACCGTACTAAGACAAGAATCCACACTGAAATCTCCAGGATGACCACTCAAAATGATATAAATGTGCCTAACTTAGAAGATTATGGAAAAAATTGAATAATAGAAACATATTTGATTAATCTGAAAGAAGGCAAGAAAGGAGAAATAAAGGAACAAGGAATGGACACTACAAATAGAAAACAAATAGCTAATTTTCAGGCTTAACCATATTTCTATCAGTAACTTTATTAAGTGTAAATAAAGTAAATGTCCCAAATAAAAGACTGTCAGACAAGATTTTAAAAAATGATTCCAATATATGCTGTATACGAGAGACATACTTTATAAATACAGCCATGGAAAAAGTTGAAAGAAAAAGGATGGAAAATGATGATAAGTTATATCTTGAAAAACATAAACAAGTGTGTATACCTATTCTGATATCATGTAAACTAGAATTTAAGGCAATAAGTATCACTGGAGTTTAAGAGAGTCATTTTTAATAATAAAACTTTCAATGCCACAGCAAGACATAATAATACTAACATTGTATACATGTGATGCCACAGCCTTAAATTAGATAAAGCAAAAGTTGACAGAACTAAACATAGAAGTAGATAAGTTCAATGTCACAGGTGGATATTTTCATACATTACACTCATAACGATATAAACAAGTAAGTAAAAGATCAGTAAGCGTACAAAATATTTAAACACAAAGTTGGACAAATTTCCATATGTAGAACCTTATATTCAACATTTACCCAATACACATTCTTTATAAGTACACGTGTGACATTTGCCGACGCGTACCATTTACCAAATTGACTATTCACCAATACTCTGCGATGCTCCAAGACATACAGAGATCTTATACTTTACCATACACTAAGTTTCAACAAATTTCAACAGACTGAAATCATGTAGAGCATGTTATGTGACCACAGTGGAATTAAACAAGAAATCAATACTAGAAAGATAACTAGATCTTTAACAAAGGATTTCTATTTTGATAGTAGCCACACACAACCAAATAATTAATTAATCTGTTAAAGGGAAAATCAGCCCTGGTTGTTGTTATAATTTATATGACTTCAACAAGAGTTTCTGTTGTTCTGCTTTCTTAATATTAATACTGTGAGAAATTTTAGCTTTTAATAATCCAATAGAGTTTAAATTATCAATATGGCTTTAATGGGCATTTAGTGATTCAGCAAAAATTAATATATTTATGCACTGAAAACTGTAAGTTTCCCTCTAAGCTCTGTTTTTTAGATGCATACTACACATTTTGATAACTTGTCTTTTCATTCAGTTCAAAAATATACATAATTTCATTTATGATTTTTTATGATTTTCCCTTTAACACATGAATTTTGCTCTATTTTCAACATATTGTGTTAAGAAAGTGACAATATCCTTGCAAAATGAAGTAAAAATGTTTTCACATTTTTCTAATATTAAGTAAATATTTATACAATATTTTATAACAGATGAATATTCATTCTGAGAATTATTTTTTAATTCAGATTTTAGTAGTCCTTTTGTGCACAAATTTAAATTTATCATACAATTGGTTCATGACACATTCTCATCGTTGATAATAAGTATGTCCCTCATTTTCATTCATTGATCAACAATAAATAAACCTCAGTTATCACCCATCACTCAGGATGAAAAACTTAACAAGAATTTATATCCACTTCTCTGCCCATTCCTCAAACTAGCCATCCTCCCAACCTAGTCATTCTTCTGTAGCCTGTGTTTGTGATTTGGTTTTAGATTACGATTTTCAAAGTCATGTCACTTTGCTTCTAAAAAATTTACTGCTCAGTTTTAGTTTTTCTCTTTACAAAAAAAAAGTTTAGCATTTTAAATAACTCTCTGTTATTTTCTTCAATCAGTAAAAGGAAAATAGTCACTTGTATTCTTTAATGTAGTTATATTCATTCATTTTGACTGCCATGTAACATTCAATTGTGTGAGCATACTAGGTTGTATTTACTCAGTTGCTTACCAATTGCATTGGAGTGATTTACTTTTTATATTTAAAGAAAATAAACTTGAAAAGCTATCTGCTCCCTGTGTTAGCTTTGATAATATGTCTCAGATAATTTTTAAGAGGATTTATGCTCATGAACCTACTGTGACTCATATTTATTACTAAGTCCATCAAAATATGCATTAGTTTCATTCAAATGTGCACAATGGTCTTACAGAACATTGGTTCACATATATTACTTTTTGAAAATTTAAAAACAGGCCAGATGCAGTGGTTAATGCCTGTAATCCCAGCACTTTGGAAAGCCGAGACGGGTGGATTGCTTGAGGTCAGGAGTTCGAGACCAACCTGGCCAACATGTGAAACCCCGTCTCAGCATGATGGCGCACACCTGTAGTCCCAGCTACTTAGGAGGCCGAGGCAGAGAATCGCTTGAGCCTGGGAGGCAGAGGTTGCAGTGGGCCAAGATGGTGCCACTGCACCCCAGCCTGGGCGACAGAGAAAGACTCCATCTCAAAATAAAAAAAGATAATAATAAGGAAATTGAAAAAATATTGTCAAGCGCAAAAACAAAAACAGCTGTAATCATCTCATTTGGAGTTTCATCCTCCAAATTCATTAAGAAACATGTTGTTTCATATCTTTCCTGGCCTTTCTCTATGCATGCATGTTTTTTTGTCGAAAAACTAAGTAATAGAAAAAATACAGTTTTTAAAAATAATATTTACTCCTTTAAAGAATAAAACTCCTGATTTAATTTTTCTTTGCTAATATCAGTGCAGTTTGTAATATTCGTGACATTGTAGGATTTAACTGTATGGATACAGCATAGCAGGGGAAATGTTATCAGACTTAGCTAGTTCTTTGATTACTAAAGCAGCTGAACATGTTTTTGTTATTTGTATTTATTTTGTGAATGGCTTTGTCATACACATTACTCATTTCCTTTTGTTATTACTTTTTAAATATTTAATGACTTTATATTTGAAGATATTATAGCTTCATATGTGTGGAAAATATTTACAGACTTTCCATTTGTTAATTTTCTGTAACTATTTATTTTTGTGATAGTTAAATATCTAGCTTTGTGTAGCAACACACAAATAATTTTAGTTAAAATTTTGGATTTTGGTATCTGATTTACAATAATTATCAATACGTTTGCTTGTAGTAATTATGTATGCAGGCTAAGAGAGGGATATGTCTCATTTAAGTCTGGATTCCATCAGCAGCTCAACCTCCGTTCCAAGTGTGACTCTGCCCCTCTCTGAAGTCTGCTGTCTGGTGTGTCAAAGAGTCATTGCCAGATCCATAGGTACATCTGCAGCCCCTCTCCTGGGGCCTCAGTGCTGTTGCCCTTAAATGCCACTCTAAGATGACAAAAAGATGCCAACAGCGGGTTCCCAATTTTGCCACAGTCTGCCCTAATCTGTAGCTCACATCTCCAGCTCCAGATTTTGAAGAATTAAAGACTTTCTGCCATACCCTTTAATATTTTTCCCCCTGAATCTACCACTTCAGCCATCAGTACTAAATTCAACCTCCAAGTACGTTGTATCTAACAGGAATTCTTTTTCAATCCTCTCCTCTGGATAGCATTTAAGCTGATATATATGACACAGAAATATCTGACGCTTAAATTCCTACAGTTATTTCTATAGTTATATTTCTATCGAAATGATATATTTCTATTGATACATGTCATGTAAAACGTATTTGCCCTGCCTCCTTTTTCTCTTATTATATGCAAATGTGAAAATGGAAACTTTAAAATCTCATACTGAAATGCTAAGAGAGATTAGAAATTGGAAGAGTATTTTACAGATCAAGGGAAAAGTTCTACAAAGATATAAAAATGAGCTCATTTAGTCTCAGAATAAGAATTTTTCAAAAACACTATAGTGAAAGGAAAGGAGAGGAGAAAATATAGAAGGGTGAAGTCATTGTTTTACAAAGATCTTGATGTATTATTGACTGTTAATTTATATACATTGATGGAAAGGATAAAAAACAGCCATACATATATAGTAATTGTTTTGATTCCGTAACTAATTTATGTACATGTGCTATGGTTAAGGGACATAGATTTATATAAGAAGGCCCAAAATGGAGTTTTTTAAATTGAATCTGAGCTAAGGGAAAAAAATTAAATTTCCACATGTCTATTCTCTCTATCATTTTTCCACAACAAGACAATGTCCTTTTCAACAAATTTCTGCCCCATTTATCTAAAAGTAATGTATGAGACATTTGTCCATATTGAAAAGAAAATCTCAGGCTGTTTCTGTTTTCACAGCTCCTGAATCTATAGAGATATCTTTGAGAGTCATGTAATGGTGGGACTGAAATGGTTCATAGAGGTGACAGTATGCCTGAGCTCACATGGAAAGTAGGTAATCTTGCTAAGACATAAATCCAGATCCTCTGCCCTGAGTCATATCTAACTGGTCAGCTGGTATTCACCTTTCTCCATAGAGATTCTAATTTAATTGTTCATAACACATTTTCTAAAGTATGCATCAGAAAATTTGAATTCTGTAATTTCAAATGAGAGTTCTGCAGATAGTGTTTTGCAATTAAATTTGTAACCACTTGTATAAAGTTAAATATTCTTTCCCATAGAGATATTCAGCAAGTCTCTAGGGATGAGCACTATGAAATCATTTAAGAGTTGCATGCACCATATTATGTTTTTGATATTTTGCTACTACAGAGGACTATTTCCGCAAAAGGACCACTTAACCTAAGGTACGTCTGGTCATATTGATGCTCAGTAGAACACTCTTGGGATGTTGTCCAGTAGATCATGTGCACACTCCAATTAAAAGAGGATTCATCATACCATCTCCAAGGAATCTGTTTACTAAATTTTGAATTCAGATCTTTGACAAAGGACATTTTGTAAGTGCTTCTGACACAGGAGAAATTTTGAAAGTGAAAGAGGCTACTTAGGATATAACTATGAATAAATCACACACAATTTCAGCCCTCATGGAGCAAATCGTTTAGCAAAGGACACAGACAGGAAACAATCTCACAAATCAGCATTTCCAGAGAAAAATGCACAGATTAGTTGCACCATGAAAGGCTTGAAATATTCAGGTGCTATGATTCCAGTATATCTCAATTTACTTCCAACGTTTTAGCCCATGATGCAGAGTATACATTTGGGAAATTGCTAGTGGATTCTTATAATTTGAGTCAGCTGGGGATGCTACTTACAGCTCTTGCTTTAGATGCTGTAGATTTTTTGGAGGATATTAATACAATTCCTCATAGGTGATATGCAGCTATTAACCTGACCCATGCATTTCTGTGCATTTTAATAAACGGAGGTCATAAAAATCCGTTTGCTTTAACTGGTAGGAACAGCCATATACCATTAACATCTGATCCTGAGGGTAGCAACCCTAAGGTTCTGTGCTACATCATAATCTGCGGGACTTTAGAAATACATCACCACACAAGGCATGATGTTGATGCAACCTATTAATAACATCATGCTGATAGAATCTGGAGAGGAGAGTAGAAACCATCCTAAACGGCCTTGGTAAGTTGTATGCATACTGAAGAGGGAAAATAGATTCTCTGAAAATAGAAGAATCTGCCTTATCACTTAAGTTTCAACTGAGAATCAATAACCATAGGATATTCACTTCAGTGCGAGGAAAAATTTGCTGCATGCTGTAGTCTTAAGGAGATTTGCTTCCTCATATTTACTGACGTGTTTAAATCTTGAAAGCAACTTATACCAATTTGGACCCATATACCAAAGTGGCCAGAAAAGGATTTTAGACGGATCTAAAGCAATAAATGCTCCTAGCAGGACCTGGCTGCAGTACAGGCATCCCATATGTGTTGCTGTTTTTCCCATAGCCTAGAACCCACTGAAGCAGTGGTTAATGACTCAGTAGCAAAACATTTTATTCTGGTTTTCACCATGGTTTTGATATTTTTGTACTCAAGAGCACTATTTCCACCAATGGACAAAAAAAAAAAATGTTTCCACTGGATTGGAAACTATGATAGCAGTTAGATAAATATAGAGAAAAGGATGATTTGGAGTCAGAATAAGTGATGGACCCACACTAACAGGAAAAAGAGGATTGCTACTCTATAATTGGATCAAAGATGTATACTAATGGACCCTGGTACCTGCTTACTCCACC